>NC_000009.12:66757532-66923678 GCF_000001405.40 Homo sapiens | reverse complement strand
GGAGGCTTTATCTGCATAATAAAAACCTTGGTCTCCACAACCCCTTATTTTAACCCTTCTATTAATTCCAGGGCTTTAGATAAAAGCTTTCAACCAATTGCCAATCAGGAAATCTTTTAATCCACTTATGACTTGCAGGCCACAACCCCCCCACTGCCCCTTCCTCCCCCTTCACATTGCTCCATGTGATGGTTAATATTGAGTGTCAACTTGATTGGAATGAAGGGTGCGAAGTGTTGTTCCTGGATGTATCTGTGAGGATGTTGCCAAAGACGACTGACATTTGAATCAGTGGACTAGAAGAGGCAGACCCACCCTCTATCTGGGTGGGCACCATCTAATCAGCTGCCAGCACAGCTAAAATAAAGCAGGCAGGAGAATGTGGAAGGACTAGACTGGCTGAGTGTTCTGGCCTTCATCTTTCTCCCATGCTGTATGCTTCCTGGCTTTGAACATTGGACTCCAAGTTCTTCGGCTTTTGGACTTTTGGACTTACACCAGTGGTTTGCCAGGGGCTCTTGGGCCTTCAGCCACAGACTGAAGGCTGCACTGTTGGCTTCCCTATTTTTGAGATTTGGGAACTCAGACTGGCTTCCTTGCTCCTCAGCTTGCAGATGGCCTATTTTGGGACTTCACCTTGTGACAGTGTATACTCCTTAATAAACTCCCTTTCACATATAAATTTATCCTATTAGTCCTGTCCCACTAGAGAACCCTAATACACCCCACCTTCCCAGACCTAACCAGTGTATGTCTTACATGTACTGATTCATGTCTTATACCTCCATAAAACATGGAAATTCAAGCTGTAGCCAGACCACCTTGGGCAAATGTTCTCAGGACCTCCTAAGGCTATGTCATGGGTATGTCCTTAACCTTGGCTAAATAAACTTCTGAATTGATTGAGACTTGTCTCTGGTATTTTTTGGCTTAAAATTATAATTCTTTATTTTGCTAATTTTGTGTTTGCTGTGGGGTAATAGTATATGTCTTAAACTTATCACAATCTAGCTTCAAGTGAATTATACCATTTCACATATACTATTCAAACCTTACAATAGTATACCTGCATTTCTCCCCTCTCAGTCTTTATGCTTTTTTGTCATATACTTTATTTGTATATACATATGTTGCAATAACAACACATTGTTATCATTCAGTTTAACCAATTATCTTTAAAAGAAATTTACATGAGGGGAGGTTCCAAGATGGCCAAATAGGAAGAGCTCCAGTCTACAGCTCCCAGCGTGAGTGACGCAGAAGATGAGTGATTTCTGCATTTCCATCTGAGGTACCAGGTTCATCTCACTGGGGCTTGTTGGACAGTGGGTGCAGCCCATGGAGCATGAGCCAAAGCAGGGCAGGGCATTGCCTCACCCGGGAAGCAGAAGGGGCCAGGGAATTCCCTTTCCTAGCCAAGGGTAGCCCTGACAGACAGTACCTGGAAAATCAGGACACTCCAACCCTAATACTGTGCTTTTCCAATGGCCTTAGCAAATGGCACAGCAGGAGATTATATCCTGTGCCTGGCTTGGAGGGTCCCATGCCCACGGAGCCTTGCTCGCTGCTAGCACAGCAGTGTGAGATCAAACTGCAAGGTGGCAGCAAGGCTGGGGGAGGGGTGTCTGCCATTGCTGAGGCTTGAGTACATAAACAAAGAGGCCAGGAAGCTCGAACTGGGTGGAGCCCACCACAGATCAAGGAGGCCTGCCTGCCTCTGTAGACTGCACCTCTAGGGGCAGAGCATAGCTGAACAAAAGGCAGCAGAAACTTCTGCAGACTTAAATGTCCCTGTCCGACAGCTTTGAAGAGAGTAGTGGTTCTCCCAGTATGGAGCTGGAGATCTGAGAATGGACAGACTGCCTCCTCAAGTGGGTCCCTGACCCACGAGTAGCCTAACTGGGAGACACCTCCCAGTAGGGGCCGACTGACACCTCATACAGCCTAGTACCCCTCTGAGACGAAGCTTCCAGAGGAAGGATCAGGCAGCAACATTTGCCATTCTGCAATCGATTAGCAATAACAAACTTCTCCACATTTATTCACATTCTCCACAGAATTCAAATTATTCCATTTTTAACTTCACATTCTACAGTGAGTTTTTCTATAGGTAAATATTTTCTTATATATGTTCTATAAAATTTTTGATATTACAAAACAGAAGCTTGGTACATCAGTTCTAGGTGAATATTTTATCTCCAATTCTAAAACTGACATATTTCCTCAGAAAAAAATACCTAGGAAAAATGTCATTTATTCAAAATATGAAATTTTATTATAATTGATGTTTAATGCAATTCACTTTACGAAGGTTTTTGTGGTTTTCCCTAAAATTTCTGTTTTAATGAAGGCTCCTGATCATCCTGGATGTCGACAAGTTTTCTTCTTCATGTGACGTCTCTGATGCACAATAAACTGATTAGTTTTTCTAAAACTGATTATATTCATAGGGTTTCATCTCACTCTAACATAAAGTTTAAGCTAAACTACGTCCATTTAACTAATAAGCCAAATTTGTAAGAGCTTAACAGACTATAAACTTAACTCTTGCTTTAAAGCAACAAAAACAAAACCCTGATGAAGACCTGGAAGTGAATTGTTCGTTTTTCAGACTCTAGCTTCCTTGACCTTGTGCTCTATGGTTTTGAACACACAGGACCCAAGTTTGCTGCAGAAATAACCTCCAAATCCATCTTATGAACCAGGAAGACTGTGAGGGTTTTTCTTTTTTTTTTTTAAGGGCCAAGGGTAAATGTAATATTTATCATTAGCACCACATCCCATGGTCAGCCCCACCTGAATAAACGGCATATTGGGATTTTTCCACAAACTATGAGCCTAATGAAAAAGGAAATGGATAAGGGAAACAAGTTCCCAGCCTATGTCACATGAGTTTCTGCACTACGTGTTATGTGGTAAGGTATGCATTCCCTCAGGACTTCCCAAATCCATTACATGCTAGGGTTTTCTCTCTGGTATGCATTCTGGTGTGATGTACCCTAAGAGCTGCCTTACGGACAAAAGTTTTCCCACATTCATCACATTCATAGGGTTTCTCCCCTGTGTGAATTCTCTGGTGTACTCTGAGAGTTGAATTTTGGGCAAAAGCTTTTCCGCATTCATTACACTCATAGGGTTTCTCCCCTGTGTGAATTCTCTGGTGTGCACTAAGGTGTGATTTCTGGGAGAACGTTTTCCCACAATCATTACATTCATAGGATTTCTCCCCTGTGTGAATTCTTTGATGTACTCTGAGGGTTGAATTATGGGCAAATGGCTTCCCACATACATTACATTCGTAGGGTTTCTCCCCCGTATGAACTCTCTGATGTGCACTAACATATGACTTCTCAGAGAAGGTTTTCCCACATTCACTGCATTCATAGGGTTTCTCCCCTGAGCGAGTTCTAAGATGTGCTCTGAGATGTGATGTCTTGGAGAAAGTCTTCCCACAGTCATTACATTCATAGGGTTTCTCCCCTGTGTGAATTCTGTGATGTGCCCTGAGGGCTGAATTATCAGCAAACGTTTTCCCACATTCATTACACTCATAGGGTTTTTCCCCAGTATGAATTCTCTGATGTGCACAGAGGTGTGTTCTTTGGGAGAAAGTTTTCCCACATTGGTTACATTCATAGGGTTTCTCCCCTGTGTGAATTCTTTGATGCACTATGAGGGCTGCCTTATAGACAAAAGTTTTCCCACATACGTTACATTCATACGGTTTTTCCCCTGTGTGAATTCTCTCATGTCCACTGAGGTATGATTTCTGGGAGAAAGTTTTCCCACACTTGCTACATTCATAGGGTTTCTCCCCTGTGTGAATTCTCCGATGTGTACTGAGGCGTGTCTTCTGGAAAAAAGTTTTTCCACATTCACTACATTCATAGAGTTTCTCCCCTGTGTGGATATTCTGATGTGCTCTAAGGGCTGAATTATGGGCAAATGTTTTCTCACATTCATTACATTCATAGGGTTTCTCCCCCGTGTGAATTCTCTGATGTATTTTGAGGGCTGAATTATGGGCAAAAGTTTTCTCACAGTCACTACATTCATAGGGTTTTCTACCTGTGTGAATTCTCTGATGTGCTCTCAGGGCTGAATTGTAGGTGAAAGATCTCCCACATTCATTACATTCATAGGGTTTCTCCCCTGTGTGAATTCTTTGATGTGCCTTGAGAACAGAAATATGGGCAAAAGACCTTCCACATTCATTACATTCATAAGGTTTCTCCCCCGTGTGAATTCTATGATGTGCTCTGAGGGCTGAATTATGGGCAAAAGTTTTCTCACAGTCACTGCATTCATAGGGCTTCTCACCTGTGTGAATTCTTTGATGTGCTCTCAGGGCTGAGTTATAGGTAAAAGATTTCCCACAGTCATTACATTCATAGGGTTTCTCCCCTGTGTGAACTCTCTGATGTACACTGAGGTGTGTCTTGTGAGAGAAAGTTTTCTCACATTCAACACATTCATAGGGTTTTTCACCTGTGTGAATTCTCTGATGTGCTCTGAGATGTGATGTCTTGGAGAAAGTTTTCCCACATTCAATACATTCATAGGGTTTCTCCCCCATGAGAATTCTCTGATGTCCTTTGAGATGTGATGTCTTCCCATATTCACTGCCACCACAGAGTTCCATCTCTGCATCTGTTTTCTGGTGTCCTATGAGGGGTGACTTGTAAGATCTCCCACAGCCATTGTTATCACAAGGTTTCTCTTTTGTGTGAATTCTCAGATGTTTACTGAGGTTTGAATTCTGACAGAAAGCTTTCCCACATTCATTACATTCATAAAGTTTGAATCCCACATAAGTTCCAGGATGCTGAATAGGATGTGAACTTGAACAAAAGGATTTTGCACATTCCTCATATTGGTAAGTTTTCTCTCCTGAGTGGGGCCTCTGATGCTGAATGAGGTGTGCTTTCCGGTAAAAGGATTTTCTGCATTTCCCATGTTCATCAGAAAGGTAGAATTTATCTTCTGTGTGAATTCTCTGATGTGCTGTAAAGTCTAATTTCTGGTAGAGGGCATCTGTACATTCATTATGTTCACCAAATTTATCTCCAGCTTGTGTTTTCTGATGTACTATATGGGCTGAGCTCTGGCTAAAATTTTCTTCACATTTATTGCTTTCAAAAGCACTCCATCCTGTAATAGTTCTCTGAGATTGAGTGAGGGGTGACTTCCTACTGAAATTAATCCCCCTTTCATTACACTCATAGTGTGTCATAGCCATGTGAACTTTATTGTATTCAACAGCGGTGGTTTTGTCACAGGATGTCCCATATTCATTAAGATCAGAGCATTTCCCCCTTGTGTCAGTTCTCATGTGGTTAAATAAAGTGATTTTATCAAAGTTTTTTCTAAATTCATCATCCTTACAGGACTTTTCTCCTGTTAGAAAACTCTGAGGTGTAATACAAATTGTCTTATCATATAAACCTTGTCCAGATCCATCACATTCAAAAGATTCCTCCAAAGTTTGAAATTTCCAATGCTGATCTTTCTTATAACTGAAAGCTTTAGCATTTTCACCATGTTCATAAGATTTCTCTTCAGCATGAGCTTTCTCATGCTTAATATCAAGCTGCAGTTTCTCACACACATTCATGTATTCAGTCTTCTTTCTTGAATATTTTCTTTCACTTATAATTAATTGAGAAGCAACTGGCAAATTCATTCTGTGTGAGTCACATTTACAGGATATTTTTTCTGAAAGCTCTGGAGCTATTTCCAGATTAAATGGTTTTTCTAAAACTTTCTGTCCTTCTTTACTCAATGTTTTGTCAGCATCACTGATGAATATTTCTTGCCACAGAGGTTTTTCTTGTTTTTCCCGGATCCCTTTGATGTGATCAACTTTAAAATACCCTAAAATGAGAAAAATTGAAAATATAGTATAAATCTTACATTTCTCATGGAGAAGAACTTATACTCATATTTTGATTTTGGTTTTGGTTTTTGAAATAGGGTATTGCTCTGTCACCCAGGCTGGAGTGCAGTGGCATGATCATAGCTCACTGCAGCCTTGAACTCCTAGGCTCAAGTGATCCTCCCACTTCAGCCTCCCTACTAGATGGGACTACAGGGATATGCCACCATGTCCTGTTAATTTTTTTTATATTTAGTGGAGAGAGGGTCTTGCTACATTGCCCAGGCTGATCTTAAACTCCTGAGCTCAAGCGATCCTCCTGCCTTGACCTCCCAAAGTGCTGGGATTGCAGGCATGAGCCACTGTGCCCGGCCCCTGTTTTGTTATGTATTTTATTCTATTGTTTCTGGTCATGTTTCCAAATATTAAATACTTCATGCACACAGACAGACTCTCTCCTCATCCATGCTGTTTATAAAACAGGTATTATTTCCGGGGCCAGTCAAGGTGGAGTAGTAACCCCTTTCCTCCCACATCTTCCCTCTTACAATTAAAAATCCCTACAGAAAAAACAAAACAACAAAAAAAGATTAACAAATATACAAATATACGAATACTACAAAATGGAAAGAAAGTGGACTTCAGGACTTAAGAAATGACACAGTATGGAATTCCAAGGCTATTCTATATCCTAGACTGGGTGCTGAAGAAACCTACAATCCTGCACTGACAGGCACAGACAAAAAGAGCACAAAGAAAAGCCTGCTTCTTCCAGCCAGAGGTCTGAGAAAATGGTGGTCTAACAGAACAGGAAACACTTTTGATGTTTTCTCATGCTCAGGCCAAACCAAAATGATACAATCCTGTGGTTCCATGGAGGCTGAGCAGGGAGCTAATGTTCCCTGCCGTAGATACACAGGATCTGCATGCTCTTATATGTTTTCTTCCATGAGCCATGAAGAATCCTGAGAAAGTTCCATTCTTAGGATATGCTGGGAGATGGTCACAGCAGCCACTACCAAAATTCTGCCTAGAACCAAATTATTATCTAATTTATGGAACAAATGTCTTAATCTGCAAGGGCAAGAATATAATAAGTTGTTTTAGGGCACTGACAGGAACTCATAGCAGCTATGGGAAGGAAACAAGAAAAAAAGAAGCACAGAAGTAAGAGGAGAGGCAGGAATACACAGTAGACCCAATACTCAAGCAGAAGAGATAAGATAAAGTAGCACTTGCAATAACCATGGCTTCAAACCTGAAGACACAATGCATTCAACAGCTGAATTCACATTCTTCTGAAATGCACATGGAACAATCATCAAAACAGACTATATTCTAGACTGTAAGACAAACCTTCAGAAATATAGAAGAAATAAATTATACAGAGGATGATCTTGGGCCACAGAGAAATTATACCAGAAATCAGTAAACACAAATTTATCTGGAGAAATACAAAAGAACTGTAAGTTACACATTCCTAATTAACCCATGGGTGAAAGAATTCTCAAATGAGATATTTTGAAGTGAATGTAAACAAAACAACTTAGAATACAGAAATTTGTGGATACAGCTAAGGCAGTACACAGAGATAAATTTGGGGCTTAAATTTTTTTGGCCAGACGCGGTGGCTCACGCCTGTAATCCCATCACTTTGAGAGGCTGAGGTGTGTGGATCACAAGGTCAGGAGTTTGAGACCAGCCTGACCAACATGGTGAAACCCCTTCTCTACTAAAAATACAAAAGTTAGCCGAGTGTGGTGGTGCACACCTGTAATCCCAGCTACTCAGGAGGCTGGGGCAGGAGAATTGCTTGAACTCGGGATGTGGAGGTGCAGTGAGCCACGGTACTCCAGCCTGGGTGACAGAGTGAGACTCTGTCTTTAAAAAAATTATATTTGAAAAGAAAGATCTCCAGTCAGATGCTTGTTTCCCCCTTAGGAAACTAGATAAAGACAGGACATTAAGTTGAAAGAAAGTAGAAGGATGACAAAAAAGTCAAACCAAAAGCTTAATTTTTTAAAAAGTTTTTTTAATGATAAAAACCATCAGAGAGAAAAAAAGAGAAGACACAAATTACCAATACCAAAAATTCAAGAGAGGACTAACTACTAACAGACATTCAAGAGATAATAAAACAACAATAACAATAACTCTGTCTTAGTTCGGGCTACTACAACAAATTACCATAGACTAAATGGCTTAAAGAATAAACATTTATTTTTCCCAGTGCAGGAGACTGGAAGTCTGAGATTAGGGTGCCAACATGACTGTGTTCTTGTGAAGACCTCTTCTGGTTTACAGACCACTCACTTCTTGTTATATCCTTACATGGTGAAAAGTGAAGTAGCTAGCTCTGACACCGTTTTGTAACAGCATTCTAGTCTCTCTCTTTTTTTTTTTTTTAACTATAAAAGCAAACTAACTTTATTTGGACAATCTAAGTGGAAAGAAGAGGCAGGTGAATGTGTATTGTAACCACAGAGAATATATTCTATGTCAAATGTTAAAACATAATGGCAGAATAATCTAAAAGACTTTTTTTCTAAAGGAGCTGTCAGTGAAAAGGATATTTACGACAACATATTAACTTACTTCATTATGATGGAGGATATGTTAACTGAATGTCTAATTTACTCAAATTTTAACTATGTTTGCATATGTAAATAAGGCTTAAGAATGTAATGAAATCTTCCTCTATATATGTGTATGTGTGTGTGTGTGTGTGTGTGTGTGTGTGTGTGTGTGTGCAATTCCAAAGAACAACTTCTGGACCAAATAGTTTTAACTAGTAAATTTTACCAAACATCCAAGGAAGAAATAATACCAATCCTACACAATGTCTTCTAGAAAATAAAAGATGGAATATTTCCCAAATCATTTTATAAGGCCTGCCTCATCCTCATAGCAAGATTAGGCAAATACTATTCAAGAAAAGAAGCTTTCAGACCAATATCTCCCATAACATAAATGCAAAAATGTCCCAAAAAGTACACTGAAATATATAAACATAGATAATGTATCAGTGAAATTTACCTCAAAAATGCCAAACAGTTACTACACTGCAATACTATAAAAACTATAGTTTTTATGCTGCATTTCAGGTCAATGTAATCTCCTATCATTAGTCTGAAGAACTAAAATCACACACTACATCAATGCCAAAAATTTTAACAAAATTCAAAATCCATTTATTAATTTAATAAAAGTAATCTATAAAAAGCCTATAACTAACATTATACTCAAGAGAGACTGAATGTCTTCCCTCTAAGATCAGGAAAAAGACAAAGATGCCCACTACCAGTAGCTTTACACAAGATTGCACTGGAAGGACCAGCCAGTGCAAAAAGGTAAGAATAAAAACACAAAGATACAGAGTAAATTTACACAGAAAGTTTAAAATCAAAAAAGTTCCTTGAACTAATAAGTGTTTTTAGCAAGGGCAGAATCTAAGGCCAATATACAAATCTATGCCTACAAACATACAATGATGAATTGGAATTTTAAATCACAGAAACAATATTACAGCACCAAAACAAAATTAAAAACAAAAATTAAAAAAGCCTCGTTATCTGTGTTCTAAAAACTAAAAGACATTGATGAAAGAAATCAAAGAAACAGTAAATAAATCAGTAGGGATATTTTGTGTATGGACTGGAAGACTGTACGTTGTTAAGATGTCAATTCTCCTAAGTTCTACAGATTCAATGCCACTCCAGTTTAAATGCCAACATGTTTCCTTTGTAAAGATTATGAACCTCATTTAAAAATTTATACACAAGATGAAAACTGGAGAAGTACTTGACTTCAAAACTTAATAAGCTAGAGTAATCAAGTTAATGTGGTATTGGCATAAGGAAAGACATGTAGATGAATGAAAAGGAATATTAAACTACAAAAATAGACCCCCAAATGTACAGCCATCTGTTTTCTAAGAAAGGTGGAAATGCTGTTCAGTGGAGAAGTAACAGTCTTTTCAAAAAGTGATGCTGGAATAACTGGACTCCCTGTTCCAAAAACATTTAACTTGACACATAACTCATACTTTCTATAGAATTTAACACAAAATGGATTATCAACTAAGTGTAAAAACTGAAGCTGTAAAATTTCTAGAAGAAAATAGGATTCCTAAATCTGTTACTTTGAGTTTCAAGGTTTCTAGATAGAACAACAAAAGCAGGTTCTGTAAAAGAAAACTAGTAAGTTGGACTTTATCAAAATTAATATTCAGTTTTAGTGAGCCTCCTCTGAAGTTATACTAGCGGGAGTGAGGTGCAGCATCACTGCCTGCTACGTGGGGAAGGAAGTCCAGTTCCCCACTGATCTGACCCCCTGGGGGTGGAAGAGGAGGCTTCTACTTTTTTTTTTTTTTCCTTCCTTTTGAGACAGTTTCTCTCGTCACCCAGGCTGGAATGGAGTGGCGCAATCTTGGCTCACTGCAACCTCTGCCTCCCGAGTTCAAGCGATTCTCCTGCCTCAGCCTCCTGAGTACCTGGGATTACAGGCACCTGCCACCACGCCTGGCTAATTTTTGTACTTTTGGTAGAGATGGGGTTTTGCAACGTTGGTCAGGCTGGTCTTGAATTCCTGACCTCAGGTGATCCACCCGCCTCGGCCTCCCAAAATGCTAGGATTACAGGTGTGAGCCACCGTGCCTAGCTGAGGCTTCTACATTAACCCTGGGCATGGGTGAAAGATCAGGAGCCCCACAAGGACTCTGATAACACTAACCACCTTGTATTTTGTCAGGTGCCAAGACCCCTAGTGCATCTTCATTCTTCTTTCCACCCTTCAGTAGTGTGATCTCAGCTCACCATAACCTCCACCTCCCAGATTCAAGCAATTCTCGTGCCTCAGCCTCCCAAGCAGCTGGGATTACAGGCACGAGCCACCATGATTGGCTAATTTTTTTGTATTTTTAGTAGAGACAGGGTTTTGCCATGTTGGCTAGGCTCGTTAAACTCCTGGCCTCAAGTGGTCTGCCTGCCTCGGCCTCCCAAGGTTCTGAGATTACAAGTGTGAGCCACTGTGCCTGGCTAGATATTGCATTCTTTACAAACTGAAGGTTTGTGGCAACCCTGAGTTGGGCAAGTCTGTTGGTGCCATTTTTCCAACAGCAAGTGCTCACTTTGTGTTTGACTCAGCAGTTTTTAGCAAACAAATATTTTAATTAAGGCATGCATACTGTTTTTTAGACATGTTATTGCACATCTAAAAGACTAAAGTATAGTGTAAACATAAAACTTTTATAAGCCCTAGGAAAACAAACATTGTGTGTAACTTGCTTTATTGTGAAATTTGCTTCATTGTAGTGGTCTGGAACAGAAACTGCAATATCTCTGAGGCATGCTTCTATATACAGATATTTAGCTGCACTTAGTGGGTAGAGTAGAAAGGAATACATTTACTCCATCCTTCCCCTGGGTAATGCATTCTGTATTTTATTAAATCCTTCCCTAAGAAGAGTCATTAACCTATTCTATATGATCTTCTAGAATATTTCTACTTTTGTTTTGATAATTAGGTCTTAAGCCAACTGAATTCGACTTTTTGTTTTGTTTTGATCTATATGGATACCTCAAGATCCTTTCCTCATTGTTCTCCAGTGTCATCTATCTAAGATGTCTATCAAGTATATGTTTTTTCTTTTGTCTTTTTTTTTTTTTTTTTTGAGATGGGGTCTTGCTCTGTCGCCCAGGCTGGAGTGCAGTGGTGCAATCTCGGCTCAATGCAAGCTCTGCCTCCTGGGTTCACGCCATTCTCCTGCCTCAGCTTCCCAAGTAGCTGGGACTACAGGCACCTGCCATCACGCCTGGCTGATTTTTTTGTATTTTCAGTAGAGACGGGTCTCCATCTCCTGACCTTGTGATCCACCCACCTTGGCCTCCCAAAGTGCTGGGATTACAGGCATGAGCCACCACGCCTGGCCTCATGTTTTTTTCTTTAACTTTCTACTCTGTTTCACTAATTTACTAAATCATCCCACCCCCCAGCTCCATGCTACTTAGCTACACAGCACTTTACATAAAGCCTCAATATCTGGTAGAGCAGCAAATCCTCCTGTATCACTCGTTTTTATGAATGGGATTGTGTTTGGTATAGCGTTATCTCTTTACAGATGTATCCTGACTTGAATTTATTATATAGGTGTTTCCTCTCTTTTTTCTTTGATAGGGTTAGCTGAAGTTTAATTCATTTTATTTTTCTTGTAAGAAACATTCCATTTCTGTTTTCCATTTTATTTTTAATTTTACTTTTAAATTCTTCTGTTTTCACTATTGTATTTTTGATGCTGTTCTTGCTTAATTAATGAGACTACGAACTTCCTTCTGTCCACTACTTTAGCTATACCTGATGGTTTCTAACTTGCAGTTACAATTATTTCATTACAGAAATCAAATCCAAAATTGCATTACACTTTTTTGTATATTGTTTAAAAGAGATACTAAAATTTTTTCAAGTGGATTTTTTTCATTTTATTATTAATTTCTGGATTTACCAAACTAGGTTCAGAGAATACTGTTTGTGTTTATTCTAATTTGTTAGATTTATTGAGGTTTTCTCTTTAGACTAATAGTATACTCTATTTTATCATTATTCAATTAAAACATGAAAGTTTTGTTTTTTGCATTAGCATACATATACACAAATGTATGGTTCACTTTAATACAAATGTAATTTATAGCCTCTCTAGGCATATTTATTTAATGTCCACTGTACCTACTGTTTAATCAGATGAGACATTATGATGTCCTAATTCTAATGAGTTTTAAGTTCTTAGAACTCCATTATTTTATGTTTTAGAAACATTGATATTATATTATTTGGTGCAGTCATTCAAATCCTTAAAGGTTTTCATTTCCCTGTGCTCTTGAATGAGAGCTTTTCCTACTTTAATGAATTTCTTGCCTGAATTCAAATCTGAATGATATAGAACATGAAATCTACATTATTTTATCTTTATTGACTCAACAACTTTACTGATTTTTTTTTTTTTTTTAATTTTTTGGGACTGAGTCTCGCTCTTTTGCCCAGGCCGGAGTGCAGTGGTGCTATCTCGGCTCACTGCAAGCTCTGCCTCCTGGGTTCACGCCATTCTCCTGCCTCAGCCTCCCAAGTAGCTGAGACTACAGGTGCCTGGCTAATTTTCTGTATTTTTAGTAGAGACAGGGTTTCACCGTGTTAGCCAGGATGGTCTCCATCTCCTGACCTCGTGATCTGTCTGCCTTGGCCTCCCAAAGTGCTGGGATTACAGGCATGAGCCACCACGCCTGGCCCAACTTTACTGATCTTTTATAATGATCTTTCTATGTTACTTATTTAGGGATATCCTTTTTAGACAATCAATATGATCCAATAATTTACATTTAGTGACTCAGCAACATACTTGATCTAAATTATGTCACTCTTTATGTGATGCTATTTGTTGGTATGGCTTCAAACAAAAACCTTAATTGTGCTTCACTTCTAATAAGATGATTTTACTTTTTTATTCTAAAAATGACATTGAAAACTATAACTTTTTAAGATTTCTGGAATCATTTATTCGTACAAAGCCTAATAGGCATATAAAAAGATGCCTGATATCATTGGTGACCAGGGAAATTGTTATAGACTTATTTGTGTCCTTCCCAAATTCTTATCTTGAAGCCCTAACCCCCAGTGTAACTGTATTTGCAGACAAGGCCTTCAAGGAGGCAAAAAGGGTAAAAATGAGGTCACAGGGAAGGACCCTAATCCAGTAGTACTGATATCTTTATAAGAAGCGGAAGAAACACCAGAGTATTCTCTCTCTCCCACTGCATGTGCACAGAGGAAAGGCCACATGAACACACAGCAAGAAAGTGGCTGTCTTCAAGCCAGGAAGAGACGCTTCACCAGAAACCAACTTATTAGTACTTTCATTTTAGACTCCCAGCCTCCAGAATCATGAGAATTTCTGTTGTTTAAACTACCCAGCCTATGGTATTTTATTATGATAGCCCTAGCTGACTAATACAGAAATGTACATCAAAACCACAGTGAGATATCACTTCACATCCACTGGGGTGGCTAGAATCAAAAAGTCAAACAATAACAAGCACTGGTGAGGATGTGGAGAAATCAGAACCCCCATATGCTGTTGTTAGGAACGGAAAAATGCTGCATTTAGAAAAACAGTCTGGTGGTTCCTCAAACAGATAAAGACACAGATACCATATGACCCAGCAGTTTCACTCCTAGGAATATACACAAGAGAAATAAAACCAATTGTCCATGCAGAAACCTGTAAATAAATGTTTATATTAGCATTATTTGTAGGTGGAATCCCAAATATCTACTGACTGATAAATGGACAAACAGGTGGTACATCCATACAACGGGACATTATTTGGCCATAAAAAGAATGAAACATGTATTTTATATCAGTTGTAAACATTATGCTAGGCAAAATAAACCAATCACAAAAGACCACATATATGATCCAATTTATACAAAATGTCTAAAATAGGCATATTTATAGACACAGAAGTAGACTGTGGTTACCTAGGGCTGCAGAGGGCAGGGGGGATGGGACAGTGATAACTAAAGGGTACAGGTATGTTTGAGGTGATGAAAATTAACTGTGGTGATGTCTGCATATACAGTCATCCCCTGGTATCCATGGGGAATTGGTTCCAGGATTCTCTTAAATACCAAAATCCACAAATGCCCAAGTCCTTGATACAAAATGGCATAGTATTTGCATATAACCTATGCACATCCTCTTGTATACTTTAAATCATCACCATATTAATTATGCTACCTAATACAATGTAAATGCCATGTACATAGTTGTTATACTATATTGTTCAGGGAATAGTGACAGGAAAAAAATGTCTATACATGTTGAATGAAAGTGCAATATTTCTTCCCTGAATAGTTTTGATCTGTGGTTGCTTGAAGTCACTGACCTGTACACTTTAAAGGAGTGAATTGTAGGCATGTGAATTATATCTCAATAAAGCTGTTCCAAAAAAACTTTCAAAGGTGCTCTCCCTCTAAAGACTAAGTACCCCCAGGGGGCTCCTTCTGTTAATGCCCACTCACCTGGGTACCTCTGGTTCAGGAATTCATCTTCTAAAGACCATGGCTCTTCTCCTTTCTCCAACTTGGAGATCACCTTAGGTTTAGTAATGCAATATCCTGTAAACAAAATAATTGACATGGACCAGATTCACAGGCTTTTGGATTTCCAAAGGGAAAAAAAGATATGGCAGCAAAGCATTAACTGAGGGTGTTCATTTGAAATTTTTAATGGGAAAGTAATGACATGTTGCTTTTGTTTCTGTAAAGGTTTCAACTACTTCAAACCTTTTAATCCAAAGCCCTTTAATCTCTATAAAGGGTCCATGTGTTTTGATACTTTTTAAAAAGGGACATATATTCTCGAGAGAGCCCCATGGTAAGCTATGCTCACCCACTGAGATGAGGTGGCTGTAGTTCTCCAGCATCACATCTCTGTACAGCGTCCTCTCGACAGGGCCCAGGTGCTGCCACTCCTCCCGGGTGAATTCCACAGTCACGTCCTGGAATGACACTGATGCCTGTAACAACATTTATCACAACAAATATAACAATGGTTTGTTCAAGGGTTCAGAATTGGGTGACACAGAAAATATCTTTGAGAGCTACTACTAAAATGAATGGTTATAAAGGCCTATTTTAGACCCAAAATTGTCTTAACATATGTAACTCAAAACATTTTTTAACTTGCCATAATTTCTCTATGTATTTATGAATTCTAGGTTTTTGTAAGACAAAAAAAAATCAATGTAAAACAACTTCCTTCCAACCACCTCCTTCCTTCTTCCACATCTCCGCAAATTATCCGGGGTAGTCTCTAGGACATTCACACCCTCCCTGGACATCATCACTGTAAATTCTGGGGGCTAAGGAAGAGATATATGTGAAGTCTGGAGATACCCTGACCAAACTTTATATAGGGTAGAGCAGGTGAAGAGCAGAGAACAGCTATAATAGTTGTAACCAAAGAGACTGGCACAAAAGAACACTTCCTACACTGAGGTCACAGCAATGGATGTAAGAATAGGGATATAATCACAGAAGAGAAGCAACACCCATTTAATACAATACTTTCTTGTACAGCTACTCAATCTAGCTGTATGAGAAGCTCCTTTTAAAAAAATTTTGTTTTTAATTGACAGAAAGACAAATATTTCAAATTATAGTCACTTATATGTGGAACCTAAAAAGTTCAAACTCATAGATGTAGACAGTAGAATGGTGGTTACCAGAGGCTGGGGGTGAGGGGTGAGGAATGGGGAAGCATTGGTCCAAGGGCACAGAGTTTCAGTTACATAAGAGGAATAGTTTTTGAGCTATTGCACAGGATGATGACTAGAATGAAAAATAAAGTAATGTATATTTCAAAATAAGCAGCTGCTTGGTGGTGCCAAAACTGGTATCTGGGAAAGAAGAAAACGTGTTAGAAGATTCAGTGAGAGTTCTGTTCATGTTGATACGTAGCTAGAACTGTTCGTTCAACCAGGATACATATGATTTTAGAGCACAGAAGGTAAGATGGGGATGAAGATAAGCATTTAGGAGTTACTAGCAATTTAGGTGGTGAGTAAAATTAGCAGAGACAGACAGCTCCTTGAGCACACAGGGATTGAAGAAAGAAAAGAACCAAAAACAACACCTGAGGAACCACAAAGCAGAAAAAGTACAGGCCACAAAGCCAGAGATGTTTTCCAAAAAATAATAACAGAATCAGGAGGGGGCAGAGTCTTAGAAATTGAGAAAAGAGAAAGTTTCCACAACAAGAAGACTTCAAATTCAAATTAGCAAGTGATGACGGTGAAGATACTGAAGATCCAAGAAAATTCCTTCTTCCATAAAAGCAATGAGAAACCGGCAAAAACTGCAGAATCAACTTTTTCAGAACTCTAGAAGCTACCAAAGGCTTACAGCAATCTGCGGAACATTGATATGAGAAAAACAGCTGCATCACAGTAAGAACAATGATCTTGTGTCATTTCAACCTGCCCTATATCCATCCCTCTCACTCCCACTCGGCATTAGCTTTGAGAAACATCTGAAACAACAGGAGAATCCAGCGGCCTGGTATCCACTGGATGAGGCAGACTGGGTCACAGGTTGGCCAAAGCCTCACTCCCAGAAAATCCTCATTATCTGACCTAATCTGTGGTTCCCTGGAAGAGCTGACTTGAAAGGCTGATTGAATTAAGTCAGAGTTCCCCAGTGTGAAAAGCCTTATTCTTGAAGGCATTTGCCAAAAACATTCAAAGGCAATTGTTTAACTCAGCAGCTAACTGAGGCGGTGGATAACACCTGACATAAATAACAGCCTAATTGAAAAGCTTTTTAGAAAGGAAAAACTGGAGAATGGGATGTTCATAAAGCTTTTGAAAAGCTCCTATAGATTCTAGAGACTCTAGGTCACCTACATGCATAGAGCTGAGCATATGCCCAGGGCTGTGATTATGCTCTGGAAAGATGTGAGAAGGCCCTAAACTGTCACCCTGGGTGACCCTAAGGTTTGGGGTGAACTGGAAGTGAAGGAAGTGAAGGTTAACATGGGGTTATAAATTGCCTGGATGTCTGTTGAAGGAATGCCCCAGCACTCATGAGGCTCTTTGGCAAAGACTGAGAGCCTTACTTAAGGTTTCAGGCATTTAAGAAAATTTCTGCAGACTTCTGCAGCCACACATGACAATAAACACAGGCTCTACTGAATCAATTAAAAAGTCACTAGACAAATTTCAACAACAACTCCTGCAAATCAAGAAAGTTTTCTAGAGTTGCCACCTTATTTAAAATGTATAGTTTTCAACAAAAAATGCAAAACAAGAAAAGAAACAACAAGTAAGACCCATATGCAGGAAAAAAGTACAATCAATAGAAACTACTCACGAGGAAGCAGGCATTGGACTTAAACAGACGATGACTTTAAATCAACTATGTTACATATGGTCAAAGACTTAGAGGAAATGATATGTAAGGACCAAAGGAAAGTATTAGAATAATATCTCACCAGATAAAGGATATAAATAAACAGAAACTATAAAAAGGGACCAAATAGAAACTTTAAAGTTGGAAAGTACAAAACTAAAACAAATATTTTACCAAAAACACCTGTTCAACAGCAGGTCTGAACGGGTAGAATGAAGCAACTGGACAACATGCCCACTGAGATTATGCAGTGAGAAACAGAAGGAAAAATAACAAGAAATGAACAGTTGGACAGCATCAAGCTTATCAACATATGCCAAATAGACTAACAGAATAGAGACAGAAAGGGTCTAAAACAATATCAGAAGTAGTAATGGCCAAAAAACCCCACAAATCTGAAATAAATGATAAATCTACATGCCCAAAATGCTTCACAAACTTTAAGTAGGATAAACTTGGAGAAAGAAATCCACACTCGCTGGGAGCAGTGGCTCACACCTGTAATCTCAACACTTTAGGAGGTAGGCAGATCACTTGAGGCCAAGAGTTCAAGACCAGCCTGGCCAACATGGTAAAACCCCATCTCTACTAAAAATACTAAAATTAGCCAGACATGGTGGTGAATGTCTGGAATCCCAGCTACTTAGGAGGCTGAGGCACAAGGATTGCTTGAACCCGGAAGGTGGAGGTTACAGTGAGCCGAGATCATGCCACTGCACTCCAGCCTGGGTGACAGAGCGAGAGACTGTCTCAAAAAAAAAAAAAAAAAAAAAAAAAGAAAAGAAAAAGAGAAAAGAAAAAAGAAAAGATAAATCCACACCTGGACATGAGAATCAGAGTGTTAAAAAGACAGACAATCGGAAAGCTGTAACAGAGAAACAAGTCATCATATTACAGGCTGATTTATAATGAGAAACTATGGAGGACAGAGGGCAATGGGATGACATATTCAAAGTGCTGAAACAAAGACTGTCAACCAATAACCTCTATATCCAGGAAAAATAGAGAAACTGGAATTTTCCCAGGTAAACAAAACCTGAGATAATTCATCACAGGCAAGACTGCCTATAAGAAATAATAAAGGGAATGGTTCAGCAAAACTATGGAGATAGAGGAGTAGGTTAGTGGTTGTTTGGGGCTCAGAGGGAATCAAGTGGTAGTTACAGTGTACACAGCTTCTTTCTAAGGGAATAAAAATGTTCTAAAATTGACTGCAGTGATATTAGTACATTATCTGAGAATGTACTAAAAAAATCACTGAATTCTACACTTTAAATGGGTACATGGTAAGATACATGAATTGAATCTCAAAAAAAGCAGTTTTAAAAAAAGAAAAAAACAAGGGAAGACAAAATCATTTGGAGACAACAGAGAAGACTAAAGAGCCAAGGACAGAAACTGAGGCTGAGCCGAGTGACAGGACAAGGAAGGTGGCTCCATGAAGACATCAGCCGGGGAAGGACCAGTGAGGGGCAAGTATCACTAACGGAAATGTTCCAGGACAGAGTGAGACATTGAGGCAAGTGCTGCGGAAAAGCCAAGCAAGTTAAGGAAAAGACCACATCCACTGGATTTGATTATACTATGGGTAGGGACACTGGAGGTCCCAGGCAAGTGGCAAGAAAAAATCAAGGCATCCCATGGAGAGTTGACGTTAAATGCTAAGTGTGGAAATATCTGAAAGAGAACAATTTTGGACCATCTGCTGAGCAACCTGAATATCATGGGTACTCAAAATATTTATGGAGAGTGATTTTAAAGACATTCAGTTGATTCATCAGAAAAATGTTAAATTCAACCCTTGCACTGGAGTACTTGAAAAATAGTACTGAACGTGTTCAAATTTAGCATTACAATTTCTACTTCTATTGAGGAAGTAATATTCTGTTATTTGGCAATTTATTAACTAAGTCACCTACTTGAAGAACAATAAATACATTTTGTTATCTTTATGTTTATATTCCATGATAAATCAGTTGGCTTTATCTTTCTCATCAATGTAAACCTTTAAGTATTGTCTGTCTGACACTCCACCATGACTGTCAATAACCTCAGAAATAAATCTGAAGCTTAATTTGGTAAATTTGTAATATCGGAGGATCTGCATCTATCCACATGCCACTTTGCTCTGCTATTCATCTGCATTTCTACATCTTCTAGGAATGTGTCTGATCCATCTCTATTTCTACTTTTCCATGTTAATGTACGGACACATAAACCCTTACAAAACCTATTGTAAAATAAACCGGTTTTTAAAAACCTAACTCACCTGAGACATGTTCATTTTCTGCTGCTCCTGGAAGAGTGTAGAGGACTGTGGAGGTTCAGCTGGGGAGGAGGAAAGAGCAGTGGGGTCATGAGAGACCTGGTCTGCCTCTCAGTTCTTACAGAGATGGTCCCTGACATGAGATGGTTCGACTTGATAATGGTTTTACTGCGACATAACCCCACTGTAATCAAGGAGCATGTAATCCTATTCATGTGCCTAAAAAAAAAAATCATCGCACTCAGCTGGAGAAAAGGATTCCCAATGCAGAATGTCCCTTTGACTCTTGAAAAGGGACAAGAAGGACCACTCAAAGATAGCCACACCTGAATATGTGCATCTCTGATACGATTATGTGCGCTTAAACTTACATTTTCACTGAGTAAAGTAATACTGTTTTTTGTTGATTTACTAATAATTATGTTGATTTATTAACAATTATGTTCCCTTTTGACTAAGAAAAAAGTAAAAATAAAACAAAGGATTAAGCAAGTTCAGGTACACAGAGATGAAGCTGTTTACCTTCATTAAAGCTAATGTCAAAGAACTACTCAGCCGGGCATGGTGGATCATGCCTGTAATCCCAGCAGTTTGGGAGGCCGAGGGGGGTGAACTGCTGGAGGCCAAGAGTTCAAGACCAGCCTGGTCAACATGGCGAAATCCTGTCTCTACTAAAAATAGAAAAAAATAAAAAATAAATAAATTTAAAAATAATTTTTTTTAAAAAAGAACTACTCAGGCTGACTTAATCAAGTTCTTACTGCCTTTACACCCAGAATTAGCACTTCCACGGAAAAAATAAAGATGGGATGTTTTATGCAAGGAATTTCAGGCCCAATATTTTTGGGCTTCCAATATAGGAAATTCTTCCTCTACTACCCGGAAAGAGGCAGCATTAGTATCACTCTAAATGCCACATGTGGTGATGAACACGGTGTGAGAGGGACTCACAATGTGGAAGAAGTGAAGGCAGAAAGGAAACTAGGCTGCCGTTTGGGATCTGGACAGCTGATTACATCTTCCCTGGATATCATGACCTAACCAGCCCTCCAGTAAAGTGTCTTTTTCCACCCAGCTTGATAGTCACTCATCCCTCTCAACCCCTGGGAATTGCCTTCTGCAAGTTAGTCCACAGCAAAGTCACACGGTCTGTGATGGCTTCTGGATGTGGCAACATCACAAAATCTGATGCATATATAGGGAGTCAACAACTGCCTCTGGGGAAGCAATCAGGACCTGCTCCTTTCTAGAATCTTCTGCCTCTGCTCTGACGCTCTAGAAGAGGTCTCGGTCATATGGGCTGTTCTTCTATGGCAGTAGTCCCTAGGACTCCCTCTTGACTGCCTCATAGGAGCTGCTTTGCTCCAGAGGGGCTGGGACTTAGGCCTGAGAAACAAACTCAATTGAAACCTTCACCTAATACCCTAAACCTGACTCTTGAGATTCACTAGAAATGTGCTATCCAGCACTGCAGCCATCAGCCACATAGAACCATTGAACACCTGAAGTTTGGCCAGTGCTACAAGTCGAATATTTAGGAAGGAATGAGTTAAGTAAAATAAAGCAGTAAAACTGACTTTGCCTGCCTCTTCTTTTTACTGTAGCTACTGAAAAATTCTAAACTTTTTTTTCTTTTTTGAGACAGAGTCTCACTCTGTCACTCAGGCTGGAGTGCAGTGGTGCAATCTTGGCTCACTGCAGCGTCCGCCTCGGGTTCGAGCGATTCTCCTGCCTCAGCCTCCCAAGTAGCTGGGATTACAGGAGTGCACCACCACGCCCGGCTAATTTTTTTATTTTTGTAGAGATGGGCTTTTGCCATGATGGCCAGGCTGGTCTCGAACTCCTGGCCTCAAGTGATCCACTGGCCTAGGCCTCCCAAAGTGCTGGGATTACAGGCATGAGCCACCGCACCTGGCCAAAAATTCTGATTTATATTTGTGTTTTGCCTTATCTTTCTATTGGACAGCACAGCACCAGAATATCAATCTGTGCCTTTGAGGAGACAGCGGGAACAGTACAAGAGGATTCAGGAGCCTCAGCCTGAATCAGAGACCCGACAAATCGCAGAATGTATCTACCACTTGGTGAGATTCTGTCCACATTTACTTCACAATCATCTACACAGATCTGGTGACAGGCCACTCTGCATAAGCGCTCTGAAGGCTTTAGGCAGGTACTGGCAAGTCTGGGTTTCAGGCAGACAGCATGTTAGAACGAGCAGGACAGGGAGTCACATCTCTCAGCATTTGCATCTCACCTACTAGTGTGTGCCCTGGGGTACCCATCCCCATGAACTTTCGTCCATTTTTTTAAAATGGAACGTTTATACCAAAGAGGTCGTTGTGAGGGTCAGGTGAAATACCAAACGATGAGAATAAGTGTCTCATAATTGTGAGAGCAGCTTACATTTCACATAGTGACTATTACAGACACTTAACAAAATGCTTTACAGGTGACAACTTATTTAATTTTCAGAATAGGAACACGAGTTACTAGTAACCTCCTCCTGTTCGCCGTCAACCTCATCCACGCACATTTCCTCTTCCCGGCCCGCAACCCCGCGGGGCCCGGCAGCCCCTACACCTGCGGACAGGACTCGGCCTGGGCCCGCGCACTGGGCCGGGGAGGAGAGGGGAGGGCCATCCTGGGGACTCCTGAGACTGCCTGCTGCTGTCCTCCGCACACAAGCCCGCCCGTCCCCAGGTTCCTGGGCCGCGCGGAGCCCTGTCACCGACGCTCTCACCCCAGGTGCGCAGCCTCGGCTCCCGCGCAGACCTAAAGACTCGGACACCGTGTCCCTTTCAGGCCCGGGAGGGCAGACGGCAGGAGGTGGGGCTGGGTTTACACATGCGCAGAGCGAGCCCCGAAACCCCATTCCCAAAGTGCTGCGCGGTAGGCGCGTTAACATTGAAAACTACAGTAACTACAGTTCCCGTAAGCCCGTGCGTCCGAAGGAAGTACTATAATTTTTTCTGCTGCTTTGACCGGCTGGGAGGGACCTTCGGAGCCCAGGGATTTCCCAAATTCCCGGAGGTTGTCAGCATGACCACAAACTGCGAAGTGTGGTTCTTGATGCGATCCTGGTTGGAGAAAAAAGCACCTTAAACAGACATTAACAATTGGGGAAACATGACTATCGACAGGACATTAGAAATATTAAAGAAAATTACCGTTACTTTGAGAATAATAGCTAGACGATGTAGGACATTGTTCTTATATTTAAAAGATATGTACAGAAACATTTACAATTGTATGCTTGTAGTTTAATTGAAATACTTCAAAAATTTCTCAAAACAATGAAAGCAGATATAGTAATAAGTGAAGAATTGTTAAATCTGTATAATACGTGCTTATGATGCTCATTTTACTATTTTCTACCATTCTGAGGGTCTGATTTTTTTTTTTTCATACTCAGTAAAAGACGTGTGGGGCAGTGCAGTGCAGGGGGAGTGGAGAGGCTTTACTATCCCTTCGGAAGTATGCCGTTAAATTCAAAGTTGCCAAGGGAAGTAAAAGTACATAAAAATAGCTTTATGAATAAGGTTGTGAAATCGAACAAATACTAGAAAACATAAACGAGTAACATCTGTGATCAGCAGGGTTTATGGGGGTTGGAGGAGGAAGCTAGCTGTTCAAAATACATATGTGATGCGTGAAAACACATGCAACCCAAAATATGAAAATGATTATTACACCAACCTTGCATTTTCATGAGGAAACCTTTTTTGAAACGTGTATACCCATCTGACTGTTTAAAGAATTAGGAATAGATAGGTACTATAACTTTTTTTTTAATTAATAGACTTTTCTTATTTTATTTTATTTTATTTTATTTTTTTGAGATGGGTTTTGCTCTGCCGCCCAGGCTGGAGTGCAGTGGCGCTGTCTCGGCCCACTGCAACCTCCGTCTCCGGGCTCAAGCTACTCTCCCACTTCAGCCTCCTGAGTAGCTGAGACTGCAGGTGTGGGCCACCATGCCTGGCTAATTTTTTTTTTTTCTTTCGAGACGGATTTTCACTCTTGTTGCCCAGGCTGCAGTGCAATTCTCGGCTCACCACAACCTCCGCCCCCTGGGTTCAAACGATTCTCCTGCCTCAGCCTCCCAAGTAGCTGGGATTACAGGCATGTGCCACCACGCCCAGATAATTTTTTGCATTTTTAGTAGAGACAGGGTTTCACCATGTTGGCCAAGCTGGTCTCAAACTCCTGACCTCACGTAATCCACCTTGCCTCGGCCTCCCAAAGTGCTGGGATTACAGACGTGGGCCACTGTGCCTGGCCTTTTGTATTTTTTTTTTGTAGAGATGGGGTTTCACTATGTTGCCCAGGCTGGTCTCAAACTACTGGGGTCAAGCGATCTGTCCACCTCAGCCTCCCAAAGTGCTGGGATATTAATAGATGTACAGAGCAGTTTTAGGTATACAGAAATATTGAGCAGAAAGCACAGAGTTCCCATATACCTCCGCTCATCAACCCACACACAGTTTCCCCTATTATTAATATATTGCATTAGTTTAGTACATTTAAAATACATAGTTTATATTAGCTTTCATTCTGTCTGTTCTACAGTTCTGAGTTTTGCCAAATGCATGTCTTTTAGTGCGATTTCCACCAATGCAATGATGTAATATCCACCATTACAGTATCATAAAAAATAGTTTCACTGCCTGATATGGTTTGGATTTGTGTCCCCACCCAAATCTCATGTCAAATTAAAGGAGGGGCCTGATGGGAGGCGATTGGATCATGGAACAGATTTCCCCCTTGCTGTTCTGGTGATAGTGGGTTCTCACAAGATCTGATGGTTTAAAAGTGTGTGGCACTTCCCCCTTCGTTCTCTCTTTTGCTTTGCCATGGTAAAGATGTGATTGCTTCCCCTTCACTTTCTGGCATGATTGTTAGTTTCCTGAGGCCTCCCAGTCATGCTTCCTGGTAAGCCTGCAGAACTATGAGTCAATTAAACCTCTTTTCATCATAAATTACCCCATCTCAGGTAGCTGTTTATAGCAGTGTGAGAATGGATTAATACAGAATTTGGAACCAGGAGTGGGGTACTGCTATGAAGATACCTGAAAATGTGGAAGCAACTTTGGAGCATAACTTTTTTTATTTCACATTGTGCCAGCAACATTTGTAGAAAAGGCTATCTTTTCTCCACTGTATTGTCTTTGTTCTTTTGTCAAAGATCAGTTGCTGATACTTGTGTAGGTCTTTTTCTGGGTTCTCTATTTTGTTCCATTGATCTATTAATACTTGTCAGTTATTTCACCAACATGACACTGCCTTGATCACTGTAGCTTTATAGTAATTTTTGAAGCCAGGTGGTATTAGTCTTCTGACTTTTTCTTCAATATTGAGTTGACTATCTGGGTCTTTTGCATTTCCATATAAACTTTAGAATCAGTTTTTTGATGTCTACAAAATAACTTGCTGATATTTTATTGAGATTGTGTTGAATCTATTGATCAAGTTGGTAGGAACTAACATCTTAACAATATTGAATCTTCCTATCCATTAACATGGAATATCTCTCCATTTATTTAGTTATTTCTTTCTTTCATCTGAGTTTTGTACTTTTCCTCATATAGATCTTGCATGCATATTGTTAGATTTATACCTAAGTATTTCATTGTTTTAATGATAATATAAATTGTGTGTTTCAAATTTCAAATTCCAATTTTCATTGTTGGCTTATAGGAATGTAATTGACTTTTGTATAATAAGCTTGTATGCTGCAATCTTGCTAATAATCACTTAGTTCCAGATGTTTGTCTGTCAACTCTGGGGTTTCCTACAGGGACAATCATATCATTTGCAAACAAAGATAGTTTTATTTCTTCCTTCCCTATCTGTAGGCTTTTTACTTCATTTTCGTGTTTTGTTCCATTAGCTAGGACTTTCAGTATGATGTTGAATAGGTGTGGTGAGAGGGGACATCCTTCCCTTGATTACTATCTTAGGGGCATTTTCTTTCTCAGCATTTAACTATGATGTCAGCTATGAGTTTTCTGTAAATGTTCTTTATCAAGTTGAGGAGCTTCCCTCTATTCCTTGTTTGCTGAGAGTATTTATCATAAATGGGGATTGGATTTTGTCAAATGCATTTTCTGCGTTTATTGATATGATTGTATGATTTTTTTCTTTAACCAGTTGACAAGATGGATTAGATTAATTTATTTTCTTTTTCCTTTTTTTTTTTTTGAGATGGAGTCTCATTCTGTTACCCAGGCTGGAGTACAGTGGCGTGATCTTGGCTCACTGCAACCTCTGCCTTCCGGGTTCAAGTGATTCGCCTGCCTCAGCCTCCTGAGTAGCTGGGACTACAGATGCACACCACCATGCCCAGCTAATTTTTGTATTTTTAGTAGAGACGGGATTTCACCATGTTGGTCAGGCTGGTCTCAAACTCCTGACCTCGTGATCTGCCTGCCTTGGCCTCCCAAAGTGCTGGGATTACAGGTGTGAGCCACCATGCCCAGGCCAGATTAATTGATTTTCTATGTTGAAACAGCTGTGCATACATACCTGAGATAAATCCAAATTATGGTATATAATTCCTTTTAAATATTGTTGAATTCTATTTGCTAATATTTTGTTGAGGGATTTTGCTTCCATATTCATGAGAAACATTGGTCTATGGTTTTCTTATCTTTTAATATCTTTGTCTGATTTTAGTCTTAGGCCACTGCTGGCTTATAGAATTAGTTAGAAAGCATCCCCTCTATTTTACTGAAAAGATTGTAGAGAATTTCTGTCTTAATGTTTGGCAGAATTCACCAGTGAAACTATATTGGCTTGGAGCTTTTTATAAAAAGTTATTAATTATTAATTCCATTTCTTTAATAGATATAGGCCTACTGAAGTAGTCTATTTCTTATTTGTGTGAGTTTTGGTATATTTGTCTTCTAAGGAATTGGTCCATTTCATCTATGTTATAGAATTTGTGGGCACAGAGTTGTTCATTGGATGTGAAATTCTAAGTTGACAAATTTTTTTCTGTCAACACTAAAAATTTTTTTTTTTTTTTTGAGACAGAATCTTGCTCTGTCGCCCAGGCTGGAGTGCAGTGGCATGATCTTGGCTCACTGCAACCTCCACCTCCCGGGTTCACACCATTCTCCTGCCTCAGCCTCCCGAGTAGCTGGAACTACAGGCATCCGCCACCATGCCTGGCTAATTTTTTTTTGTATTTTTAGTAGAGACGGGGTTTCACTGTGTTAGCCAGGATGGTCTCAATCCCCTGACCTCATGATCCACCCACCTTGGCCTCCCAAAGTGCTGGGACTACAGGCGTGAGCCACAGCCAACACTAAATATTTCACTCCACTGTCACTCGCCTGCTTTCTGAAGAGAAGTCTGATGTGGTTGTTACTCTGTTTCACAACATGTAACATCCCCTCCCCCGACCCACCTCCTTTCAAGATTTTCTCTTTGTTTTTTATTTTTCTACAGTTTGAATATGATATGTTTAGGTGTATGTTATCTGATATTTATCCTGATAAGTGTTCTCTTAGTTTCCTGGTCTATAGTTTGGTGCCTGTTATTAATTTTCAAAAATTATCAGCCATTATTACTTCAACTATTTCTTATCTTCATTTTTCCTCTCTTTTTGGTATTCCCATTATATGTATGTTACTTTTGTAATTATCTCACCTTCTTGGATATTCTGTTCTGTTTTTAAAAAATCTTTTATCTCTTTGCATTTAACGTTTGGCAGTATATATTGACATATCTTTGAGCTCACAGAGTCTTTCTCAGTTATATGCCATCTACTGATGAGCACATGAAAGCAGTCTTCATTTTTGTTTCATCGTTTTTGAATTGTAACATTTACTTTTGAATCTTTCTTAGAGCTTACATCTCCCTGTTTACATTATCCATCAGTTCTTGCATGGTATTTGCTTTTTCCATTATAGCCCTTAGCATATTAATCAGAGTCATTTTACATTTCAAGTCTGGTAATTCCAAAACCTCTGCCAATTCTGAGTCCAGTTCTGATGCTTGCTTTGTTTCTTCAGATTGTGTTATTTTTGCCTTTTAATGCACTGCAATTTTTATTGGAAGCCGAATACTATGTATCAGATAAAAGGAACTGCAGTAGATAGATCTTTAATGTAAAGTTTAATGTTTATCTGGCTAAGAGTTAAACTGTGTTTCCTGTTTGTGGTAGCTGTGATGTCAAAAGCAAAAGTTTCCTCTAGTGTCCTTGTTTCTGTCTCCCATCTTGTCTTTGGGTGTTCATAGACTCCAGAAATAGGGTCTGAGCCTGCAGTTCTTTTAACTGTAATTCCAGGCTATCATGCAGGAGCTCTACTGATGCAGTAGTAATGAGTGTGAGGAGGGCAAGCCTTCTATAATCCTCTGATTAGATCCCAGTCTTTTAGTGAACTGAAGTTATGTATTTCTTTTCCTCCGTGTTAAAGTCTGAAGGGGGCTGGGATTGGGGATTGCCTTCCCCAGGTCACTTAGGTTTTCATAAAAATCCTTTAGGCTGGGTTCTGGTAAAGTAGTTCCCCTGAGTGTGGGCCTTGTTAAGGGGAGCAGAGAGCTCTGAGCACGTCTCAAAAATGGTTACTTTTCCCCTCCACCCTGAGAAAAATCATCAAAGGAATTTTCTCTGATCTCCATACTGAGAACCTGGTAGGGATCTTGCAAGTAAAACTCTGCGAAGTGTTGGGGCTGCCTCCAAGACCAGGTTTCTTCTGAGTTCTTAACTCTAAATTTAGTCCACATTGAGCCTCTAGCAATTTACGAATTACAGTTTAAAATGTTGCTACCCATACTGCTGTGGACATCTCCCTCTGGGAATCTGCTCCTGGTAAGCTGTGATTCTCTGTATCTGCCTGTCTGTTTCTCCAGTTGTCCTGATAACAGTTTGTCCCATGATCTCAATTCTCTACTCGAGCTAAGAAGAGTTGTTAGTTTTCAGTTTGTTCAACCTTATTCTTGCGGAAGATAAGAATAATGACTTCCAAACTCCTTGCATGTCAGACCAGAAACCAAAGTCTGTTTATTGTGTTTTGAATTGCATTGCTTTATGCTGTAAGAACAGGTCTTTGTGAAGTTCAGTGAGACTTGCTTCCAGGCTTCTACTTTATTCCATGAAGTATCTTATCAAAGAATTTAAGCTAATTGAGTCTGTGACCATCCATAGTAGCACTACTCACCTCTGTTATTATCTTTCTTTTTTCTCATAGTTCTCTCACTACACAAAGTATCCTAAGTATGTTGACTACAACAAAATGGCAACTTCCTGAGGACAGGGAGCTTGTCTTTGTCTCACTGAGCATATATGTGCTCAAATATTTCTTGAGAAAGGAACAAGGACCTAAATCTGCTAGATACTACCAGGCAGTGGATTTCTGGTAATTAACAAGACATTACCTACCTTCCCCTAGCTTAGCATCTAGAGGTGGAGATGATAAGGACTATGATGAGAGACAACAGAGCAGAAGACAAGGACAGGAATTCTCGTAGTTGGCAGGGGCTTCTCTGAAGAGGTAACACTGACACTCACGCTCAAAAGGTGGGAGGGAAGAGATCATGTGCAGAATAGAATGGAGGGTAAGCCCCCACTTAGGAAAACCAGCGCTCACTATGGGAAAGATTTTATCCCATTTGAGGAAGACATAAAAGTCAAGTGCAGACACTTGAAGCCATTAAGAATGTTCCTTTGGCTTTACTCTGAGAAGTGCCTACCACAAGCCAGGCTAGCAAACACCTTCTCTTTTGTCTGAGCTAGACTGTCAAGCAAACCTCAGTGATGAAGAAGGCAAAGTGATATGGGTCCTTTCCTTTTTTTAAAGTAATTATTTCTTATTCAAATCAAGAAGTTAATTTGTGAAAATGTCCGTCACTCCCAGGCCAACTAGACCAAGACAAGAGTAATCAGAGCAATGGAGAGTGCGACTGAGAGAGAATAAGAATGACTATCCCTTTACACACCCACCAGAATGGCTGCTTACGAGTCTGGCTGGCTAGAATAACTATTTTCTTTTTCTTTCTATTTTTTTGAGACAGTCTCGCTCTGTTGCCCGGGCTGGAGTGCAGTGGCATGATCTTGGCTCACTGCAAGCTCCACATCCTGGGTTCACACCATTCTCCTGCCTCAGCCTCCCAAGTAGCTGGGACTACAGGCACCCGCCACCATGCCCGGCTAATTTTTTGTATTTTTAGTAGAGACGGGGTTTCACCGTGTTAGCCAGGATGGTCTCGATCTCCTGACCTCGTGATCCACCTGCCTCGGTCTCCCAAAGTGCTGGGATTACAGGCGTGAGCCACCGCGCCGGGCCTAGAATAACTATTTTCTTGTTATTCTGAAGCTACTTTGGGTTCTTTTCTCAGTTCACAAATATTACACACATTTTTCAAATAGCAGAGATTCTTAAATATTCTGAATTTGAAGCCATATCACCCGACGCTCATTCAAACTGCATGAAACTGATTATCATTAAAAAATCATGACTATTATTAAAAGTGATGCAGTACAAACTGTTTTAGGGTAACAGAGTTAAAGAGGAAAAGGCCTTCTTTGTAGGAAAAAATAGAGTTAATAATTTCACAAGGATTAAAAGACTATCACCACCGTGCAACCTGAAATAATGGTTGTAGGCAATATTCATCAGCGGCTGCTAAATCCATTCATGATAGCTTAGTAAGAATTTCTTGAGATAAAATAACATAAAATTTATCATTAACTAAAGTTTATCATTTTAACCATTTTTAAGTGTACAGTTCAGTGGAATTAAGAATATTCACATGGATGTGCAACCATCCCCACCATCCATCTCCAAAATTTTTTCATCTTCCCTAATTGAAAATCTGTACCCATTAAAAACCATAACTTCCTCTTCCTTCCCCCCCCACCCCCTGACAACCACCTAATTTCTGTATCTATGGGTGTGATTACTTTAGATACCCCATATAAGTGAAATCATACAATATCTGTCCTTTATGACTGGATTATTTCATTCCCTTAGCATAATGTCTTCAGAGTTCACTCATGTTATAGCAACTATCAGAATTTCATTCTATTTTAAGGCTGAATATGCACCATTGCATGTATATACCATATTTCATTTATCTATTCATCCATTAATGGACACTTGGGTTACTTCCACGTGCTAGCTGTTGTGAATAATGCTGTTAGGAACACGAGAATATAAATATCTGTTCAAGTCCCTGCTTTCAATTTCTTTAGATATATTCCCACAAGTGCCATTTCTGGGTCATATGGTAATTCTCTGTTTAATTTTTGAGAAGCTGCTACGCTGTTTCCCACAGCAGCTATAGCATTCCAGCAATGTGCAAGCATTCAAATTTTTCTTCATCCTGACCAACACTTGTTTTTTTTTTTTTAAATAATAACCATTCTAATCAGTGTGAAGTCGTATCTCGCGATTTTGATTTGTATTTCCCTCATGACTGGTGATGTTGGCTATCTTTTCATGTGTCTGTAAGCCATTTGTATATCTTCTTTGGGGAAATGTCTCTATTCATGTCCTTTGCACATCTTCAAGCTAGATTGTTTCTTTTTGTTGTCACATTGTAGGAATTATTTATATATTCTAGATATTAATCCCTTATCAGATATGTGATTAGCAAACATTTTCTCCCAGTCTGTGTATTACCTTTTCACTCTACTGAGACTGTTTTGATGCACAAAAGTTACTAATTTTGATAAATTCCAATGTATCTATTTTTCTTTTGCTGCCTGTACATTTTATGTCAGATCTAGAAAACCATTGCCAAATCCAGTGTTGTGAAGAGTTTCCTCCATTGTGTTCTAAAGTTGCAGAGTTTTAGCACTTAACGTTTAGGTCTCTGATCCATTTTGAGTTAATTTTTGTATATGGTGTAAGGTAAGGGTCAGCTCATTCATTTGCATATAGATATCTACTTTTCCAGCACCATTTTGCTGCTTCTAGGATAGGTAGATTCATTTTAAAAAATCAAGTTTGGAAAGTTTCAGTCATTTTCTTTCCCTCCTTTTTTTCTCAGTATGCATACATTAGTATGTCTGATGATGCCTCACAGGTCTCTCAAGCTCTGTTCATTATTGTTTATTCTTTTTTCTTTCTGTTTCTCCAACTGAAGAATTTCAAATGACTTATCTTCAAGATTGTTAATTCTACCTTCTGCCTGCTCAAATGTATTGTTGAAAGCCTCTGGTGACCTTTTCATCTTGCATATTGTACATTTCATTTCCTAAATTTTTATTTTGTTCCTTTTATGTTTCCACTTCCCTGATGATATTTTCTAGTTTTTATACATTGCATTCTGCTTTCCTTTTGTTACTTTTCCATGGTTTCCTTTAAGATCTTTGAGCATCTATAGGACATTTGATTTAAAGTTTTTGTCTATAAAGTTCAATGTCTGTTCTTGCTCAAGGATACTTTCTCTTTTCTCTTTTCCTGTAAATTAGCCATTTTTTTCTTATGTCTTTGCATGACTTAGAATATTTTGTTGAAAACTGGACATTTTAAATGTTATAATGTGGTCACTCTGAAAATATGTTTTTCTCTTTTAAAGTTCTGTTACTGTTGTTCACCATGGTTTGTAGTTGCTTATTTGTATACTGACTTTTATAAACCAGTTTTTTAAAGACTGTATTCTTTGTTTTTCATGGCACCTGCTATGGTATATGTCTTCCCTCAAAATTCCTATGTTGGAATCCTAACCGCCAAGGTAATGGTGTGAAGAGGTGAGGCCTTGGGAAATGATTAGATCTTGAGAGCTGATACTCCGTGATTGGGATTAATGTCCTTATAAAAGAAACTTCAGAGAGTTGAGTAGCCCCTTCCATCATGTAGGGACACGGTGAGAAGGCACTGTCTATGAAAGGGCAGGCTGGCACCTTGATCTTGGACTTTCTAACCTCCAGAACTGTAAGAAATAAATTTCTGCTGTTTATTAACTACCCAGTTTATTGTATTTTGTTACAGAAGCCCAAATGGACTAAGATAGCCTCTGAAGTTTTTGTTCCTTTATCTTGTGGTCAGCTAGTGGCTTGACAGAGATTTCCTTAAACACATGTTTCAGTTGCCTCTGTTTTGGCGTAGCATTTGCTCAGTTGCTGTAAACTGTGACTATTTTTCAGAGTTCTGAGAAAGTTGATTCTGACAGATTTTGCTCTGTTTTTGTGTGTGTGTTTCTGTGGAGGATGAGCCCTGATGCTTTCTACCTTACCATTTTCCCTGGCATCACTCAACAGCTCTAAGAGCTTTCAAGTTTTGACAATTCTTACAGGATATCTTTCCAGTGTTTGTTCTCTGATGTCTAATATTGGAGAGCCATCTCTTTTTCTTAAATATTGATAACACAAGGCCAGTGAATTCATACTCAGGTTATGAGGGCCTGCAGTGCATACTTACAGGGCAGTTTTCTTGAAGAAAATATATTTATGCCCGGATCTCATAGTTTCCTAGAAACATACTTTTGCTCTTTACGGAGCAAGTATACTCCCCAAAGTTGTGAATAAAACTGAAATAAATGGTTTTTTTAATTCTTTACTCTTTTCTAAGATGTTATCAAGTTGATGGTCCTCTAAAAATGATAAAAAATAAGGTCTCTTAATCCTTTCTTATAAAATAAAACTTATATACACAAGCCTTATTACAGATTAGATATTTTGGTTTCTGGCATATTATCCACAGAATAAAGTGATTCCAAGTGTATATTTTCTATATTTTCTTCATTTGGAAAAGAAATATGTTCAGAAAAATTCTCTTTGGGAAACTGGCATTGAATGTACACAGGTATTTTGGCATTTTAAAATGTGATTTTTCAAAACTCAGTGGAAAGAGAAATAAAGGGAAGAAATAGTGAATAGAGAACAATAGTCTTTAAGATTAATTCTAGGAATGGAAAATCAGATAACATAGTGAACTAAACAAGACATGTGAAGAGTAAGTAGAATAAAAAGAAAAATCAGTGCACAAAAATTGTCAGGACTTTATCAGAGACAGGGTTTAGATTAGAGAGGGATAACAGGGTCCAGATTCTCCAACTGTCAAGTATAAATTACATTGGTAGGATACTCATTAGTCCATATACTTCCGGTTGGACTTCTCCCTTTTCCATTCCACTCATCATGAAAATAAATTTAGGATGTCAAAAGTTACCTATATTTAAAGAACAGACTTATAACCCAAGCTGTAATATCCCTATCACATCACAGACATAAATGCACAAGCAGAAGTATGAAACTGGTGGGAGTAAAAGTCATTTTCCACTTCTCTGGATTGGGTTCATCACTCTATCTTGGCTCCGTTGTCTATTTATGATATCAGTGTTGTTCAACAGTGATCATCCTCACCACCAAATTACAATTTTCCTCTTTCCCATCTGTTCACTTATTTTTGCCAAAACAGTCATTTCCCTGATGCATCTTCAACTCATTTTCCACCTACTTTTCAAGATATTTAGTTTCTATTGATTCAAAGAGGCTTAGACATACTCCTTAGAGTTTTTAGTTTTGATTTCTTACAAAAATTCTTGTGTGTACTCTACTGTTACCATCCTGCTGCTACCCACATTCCAGGCAACAATGTTAGGCCAGTCCTGTAAAACCTAATATGGCCCCGAAATCACTGCTTAAGATACTAGTAGATAAAAGAATTAAGAGACAACATTCTTAAAACAAAAGTTTTACCTCAATTGCATGGACATTTGGTGTTCACACTACCACTCTACAAATCCATAGTGTGGTCTGCTTTAGTCTAGACAAGCTGTTAATCCCTTTTAAATGTTTTGTTTCCAAAAATAATTTTATACTGAAAGCTTGTCATACGTGTACCCTGCATGCCATCACAACACAAAAAAAATGCTGGTGCCCTGGATATGATTGTGGCCGTGAGCAATAAAATCCTTTGTCTTTGACCCAGAAGTCTTGTATCTCCTGCCAGAATCCATGAAACTTGGCAAGCTAACATGTTAGCTTGCAGATAGGGTAAAATGTCATGCCCTTTATAATTCTTGACTAGAATCTTACATAATTTCCATAATTATCTATTTAGTTAGAGCTCTGTGGCCTGATGAGAGTCATGAACCACATGTAACTCTTTGCCTTTATTATTTAATATAACAACAAATCAGTTCCTCAGTCACTTTAGCCACATTTAATGTGCCCAATAGCTACTTGTGTCAATTAACTATTGTGTTGAAAATCCAAGTATAGAACACTCCCATTATTTGGAGCAATTTTAACAGGACAATGTTTGTTTAAACATTATTTAGTAATTCCTATTTCATAACCAATGACAAAATCAGTATGTTTATCTTTCTTTTTTTTGAGATGGAGTCTCACTCTGTCGCCCAGGCTGGAGTGCAGTGGCACAATCTCAGCTCACTGCAAGCTCTGCCTCCTGGGTTCACGCCATTCACCTGCCTCAGCCTCCCGAGTAGCTGGGACTACAGGCGCCCGCAACCACGCCTGGCTAATTTTTTGTATTTTTAGTAGAGACGAGGTTTCACCGGGTTAGCCAGGATGGTTTCAATCTCCTGACATCGTGATCCACCCGCCTCGGCCTCCCAAAGTGCTGGGATTACAGGCGTGAGCCACCATGCCCGGCCTCAGTATGTTTATCTTTCAACTCATTCTTCAACCTACAATTTTAGTTTCCTTTATTTCTAAGTTTTTATATTTGTAATGTTAATTATAATTTTACTAATTAGTTTGTCAGCTTTAAGTAATATTGCCGGTGCCTAGTTACATTCTGTACCTTACTTTCCACCTTACTCTCCCACATTAGATACATCATTTCTAAACTTCCCAAAGTAAAGTTCTGTAAAAGCAGAGTCTTGAGAGAAATGTTTTCAAGTGCCCACTTCTGATTATCTAGGATTTCCTCCTGGATACTTTTTGACGGTAATCAATGACGCCTGGGGCCTTTCTGTTCACACACTTCCTCTAATAACAATGGAGGCAGAGGGCGGTGGATCACCTGAGGTCAGGAGCTCGAGACAAGCCTGGCCATCATGGCAAAACCCCATCTCTACCAAAAAATACAAAAATTAGCCAGGCATGGTGGTGCATGCCTGTGGTCCCAGCTACTCAGGAGGCTGAGGCAGAAGGATCTCTTTAGCCCAGGGAGGTGGAGGTTGCAGTGAGCCAGAATTGTGCCATTGCACTTCAGCCTGGGCGACAGAGCGAGACTGTCAAAAAAAAAAAAAAGGAACAATGGAGGTTCTCTTTGCTCCAACTTACCTGAAGATCACTTCTGGTTTTGTAGTGCAGTACAATTTAAATGAAAAATAATTTAGAATGTGGGCCAGCCACATGGATTTTAATGCTTCTGAAGGTAGAAGAAAAGACAATTTTAGATTTGGTCAAATGAAATCCTCATATTAACTTCTTTTGAGCAAAACTGACAACAAAACTATTGTTTCCATTACCTAAATGGGATCAATCACTGTAGATGCCCCTGAATCATAAGCCTAAATGACATTAAACTTTAGTGAGTCCATTAAACTTTAATAAAAGTTCAAACAATATACTATCTAAAAGAAACTATACTATTTTGACAGAAATACGTTAGAAGTAAAAGAATGCAAAAAGTTACAACATGAAAATACTAAACATAATAAAGTTGGAGTCGCTACTTCAATATCAAATAAAATAAAGTTCAGATAAAGCAATATTACCAGGCATGAAGAGAACACTGCTTAACAATAAAGGGGACAATTCAGAAAGAGTACATCGAAATCCTAAATATTTATGCACCAAATTACAGAACTTTAAAATGCCTTAAGCAAATCTGTAGTGCAAAAAGAAAAAATAGCCAAACCCACAATTAAAGGGTAGAGATTTCAACACTCTTTTGTCAACAATTGATAGCAAAAATAAACAGAAATGTGTAAGGGAAGAGCCCCATCATGGGGTGGCTGTTTTTTTTTTTTTTACAGTCTCACTCTGTCACCAGGCTGGAGTAAAGTGGCGCGATCTTGGCTCACTGCAACCTCCACCCTCCACCTCCCAGGTTCAAGCAATTCTCCTGCCTCAGTCTCCCGAATAGCTGGGACTACAGGCACCCTCCACCACGCCCAGCTAATTTTTGTATTTTTAGTAGAGACGAGGTTTCGCCATGTTAGCCAGGATGGTGTCCATCTCCCGACCTCGCGATCCGCCCACCTCGGCCTCCCAAAGTGCTAGGATTACAGGCGTAAGCCACATGGTGGCCTTTCTGTATGTATCCCTATAGGACAAGCAACAAAGATTTGAACTGCTGGCCAGGCACGGTGGCTCACACCTGTAATCCCAGCACTTTGGGAGGCCGAGGCAGGCAGATCATGAGGTCAGGAGATCGAGACCATCCTGGCCAACACAGTGAAACCTGTAATCCCAGCACTTTGGACTGCACTCCAGCCTGAATGACAGAGCGAAACTCCGTCTCAAAAAAAAAAAAAAAAAAATGGAACTGCCTCTAATCTGAGTCTTGCCATAGCAGCTTGCAATTCTCCTGGAACATAAGAAAAAGGCTTGGGAGAAGCTGCCTCAATACCATCACCCATTTGCCTCCCTATCCCTCTTAGGAGGTTGTTATAAGACAGTTGCTTATTACCTGCTGGTATGTGGAATGATGCTTTCTGCTCTACTCCTACCTAGGGTTTAGCTACAGACCATAATGCCCTTTACTGTCATCTAGAATTTGTTCCTCAGGAATGTGGTCTCCCACGAGTTATGTTGCAGTTATCTGACCCTTTTTACATTAGTGGTGCCCTTTTAGGCATGTGGCACAAGGGCTGGGAGCTGTCACCTTTGGCTACTCTTCCTTTCATTGTCTCTGTAATAAACTCCTTGAATCTATAAGCAACTTGGTGTGTCTTTCTAGACCAAATGACTTCGTTGTTGGCCTTGCCTGCTGTGTGTGCCTGACTCCACCCTACATGGGCCAATACAGCTTCAATGTTCCTCTGGAAGATATGGGGCCATGTGGACAAGGTTAGGGATAAGATAGATTCCCTGCACAGGTTCTCACCTACATGGTGGGATAAAAGGGGAGGGTGATACAAGCTCTCCAAACAAAGGATGAAATGGAGCAGTTTAGGAGAGATAAGACTCTCCAAGATTTAGTATTAGATGGGATTGCATGAGACAGATTAGGGGATGACATAAAAATTGCTGAAATCTGGTTGCATATGCTCTCTCCTAAGGGTCAGGCAAATCCTATTCTACCCATTTAGGGCCTGTGTGGGTCAAGCTAGAGAATATTAGAAGACTCCCTGGGATCTGATAGCATATGCTGTCTGTTGATACATGTTTGGAGTCAGGCAGCTGGAGATGGGATTGAAACCAGCTACCAACTTGTGCCTTACATTTAAGTGTGTTAAGTATTTCTCTTGACAAAGAAAAGCCTGGATCAGAGGGCTATTCTGGTAAATTCTAACAAACATTTTAAAGAAAGATTTACATCAGACTTTCTCAAACCCTTCCAAAAAGTGGAGGAGGAGAGAACATTCTCTGAAGCCAGCATTACCCAGATACCAAGGCCAGAAAAAGGCAGTATAGAAAAAGAAAACTACAGACCAATATCCCTTAGGAATATTGTCACAAAATCCTCAAGAAAATACTAGCAAACTGATGGCCAGGTGCAGTGGCTCACGCCTGTAATCCCAGTACTTTGGGAGGCCGAGATGGGTGGATCACGAGGTCAGGAGTTCAAGACCAGCCTGGCCAATATGGTGAAACCCTGTCTCTACTAAAAATATAAAAAGTTAGCTGGGTGTGGTGGCACAGGCCTGTAGTCCCAGCTACTTGGGAGGCTGAGGCAGGAGAATTGCTTGAACCCAGGAGGCAGAGGTTGCAGTGAGCTGAGATCATGCCACTGCACTCAAGCCTGGGCAACAGAGTGAGACTCTGTTTCAAAAAAAGAAAAAAAAAAAAAAAGAAAATACTAGCAAGCTGAATTAACAGAAGGAAGGGAAAAAAACATATTACCATCCCAATTGATTCAGGAAAAGCATTTGAAAAAGATCAACATCCTCTCATAATTAAAAAAGAAAAAACTCAATAAACTACAAGTAGAAGGAAACTTTTTCAACATAATAAACACTATATATGTAAGAAAACTCCCTGCTACCATCATACTTGATGCTAATAGACTGAACTTTTTTTTTTCTTAGGCTCTGGAACAAGATAAAGAGGCCCACTCCTACCACTTCAATTAACATAACTCTGGGTGTTCTGTCCAAAGTAAATGAACAAGAAAAAAATTTAAAAAGGACTTGAAATTAGAAAGTAAGAAGTAATGTTATGTCTGGTCACTAAGGTGATCTTTATGTAGAAAACCCTAAGGATTCCACAAAAACAAACAAGGAAAAAGCATTAGATCTAACAAACACATTCAGCAAAGTTACAGGTAAAAAATCAATCAGCAAATCCAGTTGTGTTGCTATACATTAACAATGAACAACCTGCAAAGGTAATAAGACAAACATTCCCACTTACAATAGCATCACAGAAAATACCTAGGAATAAAGTTGATCATGGAAGTGAAAGACTTGTACACTGAAAACTACAAAATATTGCTGAAAGCAATTAAAGAAGATATTAAGCAGATGGAAAGACATCCCATGCTCATGGTTAAAAGACAAAAAACCCTTTTTAAGATTCATATGGAATCTCAAGGGAACCTGAATAGCCAAAATAATCTTTTTGTTTGTTTGTTTGTTTGTTTTGTTTTGTTTTGTTTTTATTATACTTTAAGTTTTAGGGTACATGTGCACATTGTGCAGGTTAGTTACATATGTATACATGAGCCATGCTGGTGTGCTGCACCCACTAACTCGTCATCTAGCATTAGGTATATCTCCCAATGCTATCCCTCCCCCCTCCCCCCACCCCACCACAGTCCCCATAGTGTGATATTCCCCTTCCTGTGTCCATGTGATCTCATTGTTCAATTCCCACCTATGAGTGAGAATATGCAAAATAATCTTAAAAAAGAGAAACAACGTTGGAGTTCTCACACTTCTTGATTTTAAAACTTACCACAAAGCTATGGTAATGAAATATTGTGGTACTGCCATAAGGATAGACACAAAGATGAATGCAATGGAATACAGCACTTAGAAATAAACCCTCACATACATGATCAAATGAATTTCAATAAAGGTGCTGAAACTATTCAGCGAGGCAAGGACCGTCTTTTCAACTAACGGTGTGGAAAATCGGGATATTCACATGCACATGAATGAATTAGACCTTTGCCTTATATCACATACAAAAATTAAGTCAAAATGGATTAAAGACATAAACTTAAGAGCTAAAACTATACAGTTCTTAGAAGAAACTATTGGAAAATCTTCATGACATTAGATTTGTCAGTGTTCTCAGATATGACACCAAAATAGGCAACAAAAGGAAAAATGTAGAGAAATTGGACTCATCAAAATTAAAAAATTTCTGCATCAAAGGATACTACTAGCAAGAGAGTAAAGGCTGGGCATGGTGGCTCATGCCTGTAATCCCAACACTTTGGGAGGCCAAGGCGGGTGGATCACGAGGTCAGGAGATCGAGACCATCCTGGCTAACACAGTGAAACCCCGTCTCTACAAAAATACAAAAAATTAGCCAGGTGTGGTCGTGGGCACCTGTAGTCCCAGCTACTTGGGAGGCTGAGGCAGGAGAATGGCGTGTACCCAGGAGGGGGAGCTTGCAGTGAGCGGAGATCGCACCACTGCACTCCAGCCTGGGGGACAGAACGAGACTCTGTCACAAAAAAAAAAAAAGAAGTAAAAACACAACTCACAGAAATACTTACGAAGCATATATCTGATAGGAGTTTAATATCCAGAATAAACAACTTCTGCAATTCAAAACAGCAATAAAACTAACTGAATTTTTTTATTGACAAAATACTTGAATCAACGTCTCTCCAAAAATGTATAAATAGCCTATAAGCACATGAAAAGAAGCTCAACATACCTGGTCACTAGGGAATTGCAAAGCCAAACCACAATTAGAAACCAATTCATACCCACTTAGGATGGTCGTTATTGGAAAAAAATGGAAAATACCAAGTGTTGGTGAGAATTTGGAACCCTTGTGCAACTGTTGGAGGGAATGATGCATCCTCTGTGAAAGACAGTTTGGTGGTTCCTCAAAAAATTAGAATTACCATATGATCCAATAATTCCACTTCTAGATACAGACCCCAAAGAAAGACCCAACCAGATACTTGTATACCATCGTGCACAACAGCATCAATCACAATAAACAAAAGGTGGAAGCAACCCAAGTGTGTGGACAGATGAACGGATAAACAAAATGCAGCATGTACACACCGTGGAATATTATTCAGCTTTAAAAAGAGAATGAAATACCTGGTGCTTGCTACAACATGAATGAACCTTGAAACATTACGCTAAGTGAAATAAGGCAGAGGCAAAGTGACAGATATTTTATGATTCCACATATATGAAGTGCCTAGAATAGATAAATTCACAGAAGCAGAAAGTAAAACGCAGATTACCATGATCTATGCGTCTGCACCCCACCCACCACCAGAGATCTCTACATGCTTTCACTTGGGTAATACCAATGACAAGAGGAGGAATGTAAAGAGTCTTTTATCCTGTCTCTGAAGCCCTATAAGAGGGAAGTCTCAACTTCCATGCTGGGAGTATGGGATATGGGGACTTTGACTACACAGTTTCTGTTTGGGATTATCCACAATTTCTGGTAATAGATAGCAGTGATGCTTGTGTAACACTGTGCACATGCTTAAAGTCACTTAATTACACACTTTAAAATGGTTAAAGTGGCAAATTTTATGTTATGCATATTTCACCACAGAAAAAATAAATAAATACATAAATAAATAAATGAACTTTGGAAAAAACAAACAAACCAACCTGGCCTGCATCCAGTCTTTCTTTTCCATAGCATCTATGCAGACTGCCCGAATCTTCACACTTTCTTTACTGGGGGGCAGGGGTTGCAGTCTTGCTCTGTCATCCAGGCTGGAGTGCAGTGGCATGATCTTGGCTCACTGCAACCTCTGCTTCCAGGGTTCAAGCAATTCTCCTGCCTCACCCTCCAGAGTATCTGGGATTACAGGCGCCTGCCATCACACCCGGCTCATTTTTGTATTTTTAGTAGGGATGGGGGTTTCACCATGTTGGCCAGGCTGGTCTCGAACTCCTGACCTCAAGTGATCCCTCCACCTCGGCCTTCCAAAGTGCTGGCATTACAGGTGTGAGCCACTGTACCCTGTCTGATTTTTCATGCTTTCTTTTGCCCATTTTCAAGCGATTTTCCTCCCAGAGACTGCAAGATAGAGTTCACTTAAATTCTGAAGACATCTTTAACAGATGAGCAAAGTTCCCCTTCATGCTAGGTAACACTTTGATCTTCAAGGTACTCATGGTTAAAAGAGCATATACATTTCAGAACTAAAATAAGATGAAAACTACTGATTATTTGTTTAACCTTAGCACTAAAAATAGACCTCTGATGTTAGAGACTTCACAATATGATTTCTTCATTAATCTGGATATATGTGTGCATGTGTCTCTACGTGTGTATCTCAACTTATTTTAGCTTTAAAAAAAATTCAAAATCCCCTTTACCATGAAAACAAGGTTATGCTTTCGTTTTCATAAAGCCTCTTAAGGTCTAAGCAGAATATTGCATATTTGTAATTTAAAATATTGTCATTAAAAAGTGCATTTGGTGAGACCTAGAAAATGGTCACTTAAAACCAAAAGTAAATACAATGCTTTGTTGACAGGTAGGAGCTGCTTCCTCTTTCTATCTGCCTCCCGCCATGCCCCTTCTCCCAACAACCCCTTAGCTTCTAGCTAAATAGAAAGGATGTTCTAGCAGCTACTGAGTAGCACCTGAAGTGCCTGTATGAAGTGCTTGGTCTGTGTTTCTGTTAAAAATACGTCTAACAGAGGTTTAGGTAAAATTTATCCTAAAGGAATAAGAAGGTAAATTATTTTGTGAATGAGGCTCTGAGCTGACTCACTGTATGCATTGTTGTAAAAATGTGTAACTGGAATAACATGTTGCTTGTTTGAACTGTAAGTGCTTACAAAGTATTTTTTAAAATCTAACTTTGAAATATTTTACTGTGTAAGTGATGTCTTGTTAGTTGGCAAGTTAAAAATCTTTTTCAGGGTCCTTGGCTACACATCAGCAGGAATAACTGATAAGTCCCCAAAATTCGAGAGTGTTGCTTAGATTTTTCTTGTAACATTTCTTGAAACAATGTAGGTAGAATCACATTACTGAATCCCCCTGGCAAAGAAAAAACTGTTGCCTTTTACAAAGAACAGTATATTCCTGATCTAGAAGTTGCAGCTTTTGGAAAAGTTGCCCCATTTGTGTCCGGGCACCGTGGCTCACGCCCGTAATCCCAGCACTTTGGGAGGCGGAGGCGGGCTGATCACGAGGTCAGGAGATTGAGATCATCCTGGCTAACACAGTGAAACCCCGTTTCTACTAAAAAAACAAAAAATTAGCCGGACGTGGTGGTGGGCGCCTGTAGTCCCAGCTACTCGGGAGGCTGAGGCAGGAGAATGGCATGAACCTGGGAGGCGGAGCTTGCAGTGAGCCGAGATCGCGCCACTGCACCCCACCCTGGGCTGCAGAGCGAGACTCCATCTCAAAACAAAAAACAAAAAACAAAAAGTTGCCCCATTCGTGATGCAGAGTTCTGATGGAGAGATATTTGAAGTTGATTTGGAAATTGAGAAATAATCTGTGATTATCAAAACCATGTTGGAAGATTTTGAGTGGATGATGAATGATGAAGGATATGATGACCTAGTTCCTCTACCAAATATTAATGCAGCAGTGTTTAAAAAGGTCATTCAGTGGTGCACTCACCACAAGGACGACCCTCCTCCTCCCCAGGGTGATGAGAACAAAGAAAGGGGAACAGACCATACTCCTGTCTGGGATCAGGAATTCCTTAAAGTTGACCAAGGAGCACTTTTTAAACTTATTCTGGCTGCAGACTACTTAGACATCAAGTTTCCTTGATGTTACATACAGCACTCTTGCCAATATGATCAAGGGGAAAGCTCCTAAGGAAACTGACAAGTCCTTCAATATCAAAATGACTTTATGGAAGAGAAGGAAGCCGAGGTGCACTAAGAGAACTGTGGTGTGATGAGAAGCAAAATGTGTCTGACACTGTAACACTATAAAGACAGCTCCAAACACTAGTTGTACTGCTGTGCTTACAGTTTCTAATGTTAGACAAATGCAGCAGCAAATCAATTCTGTTAGCAGAATACTGTCATCATTGCATGAGCAATCTGAGTAGTTTCCAAGTGTATGGCTAAGTTTCTTCTGGTATGATTGAAAGTTTCTTTTTTTTTCCTCTTAATAAAACTAAACTGTGGGTTCTCTATTTAAAAAAAAAAAGAAATAAAAGAAAAATTAAAACACTCCCAGTTTGTAGATGACATGATTTTCTGAGTAGAACTAGTTAAGTGAATTCAGCAAGTTTTTAGGATATAAGATCAACACACAAAAACATACTAACGACAGACATGTGGAGATGGACTTTAAAACACAATATGATTTAAAATTATCTCATAGAAAAGGAAATATTTAGGTACGAAATTATGTACAAATTTTAACAAAATACATAAAAGATCTGTATCCTAAAATTTAGAAAATGCTGATGAAAAGAATCAAAGGAGACCTAAATAAATGGATATATATCATGTTCATGAATTGGAAATTTCAACATATTAAAGATGTCAGTACTTCAAAAGTTGACCTACAGATTTAGTACAATTTTTACGAAAGTCCCAACAAAATGTTTTGTAGACATAAACAAGTTTATTCTAAAACGTATATGGAAAGGCACAGGACCAAAAATAGTGAAAACAATTTTCAAAAAGAGTAAAGTGAGAGGAATCCCTGTGCCTGGTGTGGCTATATGTCTACAGAAAACAATGCAATGTGTTGCTGGCAGAGGCAGAGACGCCTAGAACCCAGGAACAGAGTAGCAAATCCAAAAACAGACCCACACAATTATGCCCAATGAATCTGTAAAAACAATTACATGGAGGAAGGGTAACCTTTCAATAAATTGTGTTGGGACAATTATTATGCATCCATGGATAAAATAATGAACTTTACATTTAACCTCACATCTTACCAAAAATGAACTAAAAATGGATCACAAATTCTCCCCGGCTGGACTGCAGTGGCGCCATCTCGGCTCACTGCCACCTCCGCCTCCGGGTTCAAGCAATTATCCTGCCTCAGCCTCCCGAGCAGATGGGATTACAGGCGCCCACCACCACGCCCGGCTCATCTTTGCATCTTTACTAGAGACGGAGTTTCACCTTGTTGGCCAGGCTGGTCGCGGTAATTCCTGACCTCAGGTGATCCGCCCTCCTCAGCCTTCCTAAATGCTAGGACTACAGGTGTGAGCCACCGCACCTGGCCTAAAACTATAAATATTTTAGAAAAATAAACATAGGAGAAAGTCTTCAGGACTTAAGACTACGTGGTGTTTATAAAATAGACGGTGCTTTCATAAAATTATGTGTTTTTTTTAAATAAAACTAAACACGTATCATACAGCCCAGCAATAAAAGTTTTAGGCATTACAGTATTACAGAGAAATGGAACATTTCTGTTCACATGAAAACATGTGTACAGTTGTTCATAGTGGCTTTATTTGTATTAACCAAAAGCTGGAAATAGCCCAAATGTTTTCCTATAGTGAATGGTTAAACAAACTGTGGTAAGTTCATAGAATTATCTTTCCTTTGAGATGCCATTCCTGAAACTATAAAAACTTTTCTGGAAAACCTAAGCAATGAATTTATCGCTGTTTCGTTTGTATCGCCTATTTAAGGAAGTAAAATGAACGATAATTTTTGCCCTCCTTTACCTATGGTCATGTGATAAGCCCTTAATAGAAGTCAGCTTTTGCCAGCGGCGCCCAGTGGCTCACGCCTGTCATCCCAGCACTTTAGGAGGCCGAGGTGGGCGGATCACCTGAGATCGGGAGTTAGAGACCAGCCTGACCAACGCGGAGAACCCTGTCTCTACTAAAAATAGAAAATTAGCTGGGCGTGGTGGCGCATGCCTGTAATCCCAGCTACTCGGGAGGCTGAGGCAAGAGAATCGCTTCAATCCGGGTGGTGGAGGTTGCTGTGAGCGGAGATCGCGCCATTGCACTCCAGCCTGGGTGACAGAACTGGACTCTGTCTCAAAAAAAAGTCAGCTTTTATTATGAGGGGCTCTCCATCTCCAGATGCCTGTAAGGAAAGGAGTGAGCTAAGCATCTGGAACACCGTGGGGGTTTTGGACTGAGTGCCTACGGTGTATTGGGCCCTGTGTAGGAGTTTCATATATATTATTTTATAACACTATGGCTAGCTCTTACTACCCAAATTTTACAAGTTAGGAAACTAAGGATTAGCATTACTTACTCAAACAAACAGTGGGTGAGTGGGGAAATTGGAATTCATATCCAGATGTCTCTGAGTACAGAAACCATATTCTCTATACCACACTTTTTTGTCCCTTCATAACTTCCATCTGTGTGAGTGGCCAGGAGTAACGGATTATGCAACTGCCTGAAGCGCTCTGGTCTTGTGTCCAATGCACAGGATGCGGAATATTCCTTTAAAATCTTCCTGCCCATTCCACGGCTGAGTCTCATCTCTAGCCAGCAGAAACCCATTTTTAGTGGCTGGTAAGCCACTAAATTTACTCTTTGTCCCCAAAATGACCATCATTGCATATTTAAGTACATTTTATTTCTAGATGCCTGATTCATTTCAAGTCTATGTAAATTGTTAGTTTCTTATGAACAATTAAATTTAGAGTATACATATGTCAACAACTTTTCTGTTAGTGAAACTGTGAGATCCTGTCACTCAGTGTGACATCGCTGAAAATTAAGGGATTCGCAATCTTCGCTGACTTGTGTTCCAAGTCTGGGTCAACTATTTGCTGTATGACATTGGCAATATTATTTAACCTCTAATAGAGTTCATCTGTTTATCTATTAAAACAGTGAAATGATATTTATCTGAAAGAATCCAGTATATTAATTTAGAGGTACACCCATTAACAAACACATTACTTTATGTAAATTGGTAATCTATATCTGCTTCTGCTTATTCATTACTTTAAATAACTACAAAGAAAATATTCAGACCCAGGGACATAAAATAAGCACTCAAATAACGTCTGTTGAAAAAAATGAATGTCACTTTTGTCAAATTATTTCTAAAAAAAAAAAAGTAACTTATTTAGAAAATCTCAAATCTACATTAAGGACCTTGTATTTTAGCATTGTCACCACTTTTACTGAGAGGTCAGTAGGGACTATTCCTGATTCTGGAAGGCAGAACATAGATAAGGAGACCCACAAAATTGGAGTCTGATCTGGGTCACATTTTCAACATTTAAAATTACCGTGTGACTTTGGTGAGTCATTTGAATTCTCCATTCCTGTTCTCTATCTATAAATAGAAATAATAAAGACATTTATTCTTAAATTAAGTTTCAATTTTTCATCTATAAAATCAAGTGCTAAATATACACATTTAGCAATTATAATGCTATACAGAGATGTTTCTGTGATTTCTATTCTTCTTCCAACTTTGCACCATTTTGCAAACATCCTCATGTTAAAGGTTGCAGTTTCTTCCAGTTTCTTACTACCATGATGTGCTCATAAATGCTTGAAATCCCATTTGAATAGGATTCAGGACAGCGTAAGGTGTTAATCTGACCATTTGTTTTTAAGAGTCTATCCTGTTTAAAGCCATGAGATACATTTCTAAGTGTTCTGAACTACATCATTTAAATCTTCTCATATCCTGTTTTTAAAAAAGTGGTAATCTTGGGTGAAGCCACTTGATCAATAATTTTTTAAGGTCCTTAATTTTCTCAACTCCAGGAAATTTTCCTATCCATTGGACCACTTGAATTTCATCTTTATGTTTTGTAGGTGTTTTTGGTAATTTCCTTTTTACTGCATTCCATGACTTTTAATGTTTCCATTTAGGGAATTGTTCTCAAAGAATTTGAGTTGAAACTCATACTACATATTTATAAAATGTATAAATTATTTACAGCTTAGCATTAAAAAAATCAAATATGTCCAATTCAAGTAGCTGGTACAGAATCACTTATTTTCTTAAATATGATACGTTACAATTATATCATGTTTTAAATCTCTAACAAACCTGACTCCATAATATTTGGCTACAAGTGTATATAATACAAATGCTTATATGATGGCTGAGAAAACAAAAATTTTCATTCTTACACTTTTTAAATTGTTATTTTGTCTTCTTTTAATGGATACTTGGTACAGTTTCACCTGGATGCTCTCTATATTCAGGGGAATTGCAGAGTTACAGGGATACTGTACTATGTGGAATTGCCCCATCAATTAAATGCAGGATCATGACAATGAGCAAGTAAGGAGGATTTGATGCCACTCCTTTACAAGAACGCCTTGCTAGGGTTTGGCTGTGTCCCCATTCAAATCTCATCTTGAATTGTAGCTCCCATAATTCCCACATATTGTGGGAGGGACTCAGCGGGAGATAATTGAATCATGGGGGTGGTTTCCCTCATACTGTTCTTGTGGTAGTGAATAAGTCTCACAAGATCTGATGGTTTTATAAGGGGAAACCCCTTTCACTTGGTTCTCTTTCTCTCTGCCTGGGAAAAGCATCCCTTGCTCTTCCACCATAATTCTGAGGCCTCCTCAGCCATGTGGAACTGTGGGTCAATTAAACCTCTTTCCTTTATAAATTACCCAGTCTCGGGTATGTCTTTATGAGCAGTCTGAAAACAGACTAATATACTCCTCCATGGGAAGAAAAGGTTTGAGGGTCTTTGGAGAACAGGGTATGAGAGGAGGATGCCCAGTAAGGGGGTACCAGTGCCTGCATCTGGAGGCAAATCTCACAGGCATTTATCACAGTCAGACATTAAATTATGTTGTATTATTTTAAATGTAAGCAGTTGACAATTATGCCAAACTAGAAGCTACTGCTTCTTTTAGAAGTAGGTAATAAAATAATTAACTCTGAAGTAATGTACTGTTCAGAAGCAGAGCAGATATACATAAACCTAAACACTAAGAGCTGGGTCTCCAATACTAAAAGAACGCTACTTTGGCACTCCCTGATAGAGGGAGCGCTATTAATAATGTGGAAACGTTTTTGCTAAAAGAGAAGGATTAACATTCATGCCAGCATCCAAATTGTTCTTCTTAAGATATTGTATATTTATATTATAAAATATGTCCTGTTTCTGATTTTATTAATTTATTTCATTCATTAAAGATATATCAGCAAGTGGCAGATTAGGAAGCTCCAGGGCCATATTTTCCCATAAAAATGTCAAATAAAAAATATATAGACCAAAGTCACTTTGTAAGAACTCCTAAAATTAGCTAAGAAACAAAGCAAATGCCTAACTGAACAAAAGGCCACATTGGAAGCAGTATGAAATTTCATGGCATTTTTCTTGCCCTTAACCCACCTCCTCTTCAACATAGTGTGATGTGATCAGGAGGAATTTGTCCAATCCAAGTTCCAGCCTCAAGCTGGAAGAGGAAGAGAGGAGCTTATCTGGAGATTGACTGGAAGACTATTTCTATCTTACCTGATTTAAAAAGCTGATGGAAGTGGTGGCATAGTTTGAATAGCCATTCAAATGACCTTGAATAGGTTCAAGGTCATTTAAAACAGACAGGCACCATGGTGACTAAGAGCCACAAGCGGTCAGAAGACCCCCGGTGGCACAGATTATAGACAAAGGAAAACAATAAAAATTCCCTGACCTCTAAGAAGCAGCAGCAATATGCCTCTTGGGGAAATTAAGACATTTAAAGCAGCCTTGTATATGGGGAACTGGAACAAAAGCATACACACAAGGCAAGGAAAGACACATCTCCAGTAAAAGTATGAAAGGAGCTTGTACCTTTATGCCAGGATGATTAGTAAAGGTCTTCCCCTGCATAGAGCCAGTCCACAAAAAGCTAGGAGACAAGGCTACTTTTTTCAAATGCTCAATTTTCAACAAAAGATCACAAGACACACAAAGGAACAGGAAAACGTAGCCCCTTCAAAGGAACAAAATAAATCTCCAGTAACTGATCTTAAAGAACAGCAGAGCTTGGGCTTATTTGATAAAGATATTCAAACAATAAAGATGTCTAAAGTATGCTAAATGAGCTGAAGGGGAACATGAACAGACATACAAGCAAACTCAGGAAGATATTTTATGAATGACATGAGAATATTAACAAAGAGATAATTTTAAAATCACAGAAAACAAACAAACATTCTGAACCTGAGAAACAGAGTAACTTAGTTGAAAAATTTACTATAGGGAGACTTGATCAGGCAGAAGAAAGAATCAGTAAACTTAAAGATATTTGTCATTGTTGAATCTGAGGAGCAAAAAGAAAAAAGAATGAGTAAAAGTGAACAGAGTTTAAGGGACATATGGGACATTGTCGAGTGAACCATACACATTATGGAATTACCATAAGAAGAAGAGACAAAGAGACAGGGAGCTTATCTGAAGAAACAATGGATGAAAAGTTCCCAAGTATGAGGAAAGAAATGAATACACAGGCTGGGCGCAGTGGTTCATGCCTGTAATCCCAGCACTTTGGGAGGCCAAGGCAGGTGGATCACCTGAGGTCAGGAGTTCGAGATCAGCCTGGCCAACATGGTGAAACCCCGCCTCTACTAAAAATACAAAAAAAGGTTAGCCGTGTGTGGTGGTGTGTGCCTGTAGTCCCAGCTACTCGAGAGGCTGAAGCACAAGAATCATTTGAACCTAGCAGTCAGGAGTTGCAGTGAGTCGAGATCACACCATTGCACTCCAGCCTAGGTGACAGGGTGAGACTATCTCAAAAAAAAAAATGAATATACAAATACGAGAAGCTCAGTGAATTTTAAATCGGATGGATCCACAAAGATCCACACTAAGACATATTATAATCAAATTGTCAAAAGTCAAAGAGAATCTTGAAAGTAGCAAGAGATAGGTGACTTAGTATGTACAAGAAAATCTATAATATTAACAGTGAATTTCTTATCGGAAAATTTGCAGGCCAAAAGGCAGTGGGATGACATATTTAACTGATTTTTTTTAAACTCCTGCCAACTGAGAATACTATATTCAGTAAATTTGTTTTTCAAAAAAATGAAGAGAAGTAAGACATTTCTACAGAAAAACTGAGGAGTTCGTTACTGTTGGGAAAGGCAGTCTTGTGCATGCAATCTTTTGACCCTCACTTGGCCATGTGACAATGGGCCTAAGGTCTGGACAACTTCTTTATCACGAGAATAAAGAACCTTCATATCCTGTACTGGGATTATCACTTGTGTGGGAATATTTTAGCCTGTTTCAGACTCAATGTGTATTCCTTCGTTCAGCTTAAAATTGCACATATTATGGCACCTAGCCAAACCTGATACTACATTTGCCCCCTGCAGGGAGGGGAAGGGTTCTTCTGTAGCACAAGAGAGGTATGTACCGCCAAATTGTCCTGTGTCAGCTGCTGGGCAGGACCTACTGGCCATGGGAGACCCATGACCACTAGTGGAGCTGGTCGTGCTCTGCCTCTACTCTGTGTAAGTAAAGCATTAATCTATTCAGCAATTGGCTGTACTGTGTTTTCCTTGGCAACTCCAATACCAAGATGCAGTAGGCAGAAGTATCAGGGTTTTCACTCCTGGTGATAGACAACTGATTTCACTTGCTTGATAGTAACCACTACACCATTCCTATTAGAAATGTTAAAGAAAGTCCTTCAACTTGCAACAAAGGACACTAGGCAGTAACTTCAAGCCCTATAAAAATTTAAAGTTCTTTGGTAAAGATAAATGTATGGACAAATATTTAAAAATTGTGTTATTATAATTTTCATTTGTAATGCCACTTTTAATTATTTAATAGGATTTAAAGTTTAAAAAGCATAAGTATAAATCTATATTAATGGGTACACAATATAGAAAGATACTTTGTGACATAACATAAAGTGGGAGTGTGAAGAGAGTTATAAAGGAGTAGAGTTTTTGTATGTGATTGAAGTTGCTATCAGTTTAAAATTGATTTTTCTAACTTAACTGTTTTATGTAATCCCCATGGTAACACAAAAGATATATCTAGAGAATGTACACAAAGAGAAATAAGAAGAAAATCAAATAAATGTCACTGAAAACTCAACTGAACATAAAGGAAGGCAGTAAGTGAGGAAATAAGGGGAAAAAACCTATAAGACATAGAGAAAAATTAGCAAAATGGCAATAGTAAATCTCTAATCATAATATATATTTTGGCAGAATGGATAAAAACACAAGATGCAACTATATACTGTCTACACAAGACTTGTTATAAATCCGAGGACACGCACTGGGGAAGGGAAAGAATGGAAAAAAGATAATTCACGCAAATATTAAAAGAAGAGCAGCAAGTGGCTATATCGATATTGGATAAAAGAGATGTTAAGTTGAAAGCTGTCACAAGAGAGAAAGAGGGACACTATATAATGACAAAAGGGTCAATTCACCAAGAAGATATAACATTTATAAATATATATATATATTTATATATATATACACAGTAAGCATCAGAGCTCCTAAATTTATGAAACAAATGTTGACATAATTGAAAGGAGGAAAATACTGATGTACAAGAATTATAGGGACTTTAATGTCACATTTCAATAATTGATTAAACATCCAGAGAAACGATCAGTAAAGAAACAGAGGACTTGAAAAACATTATAGACCAATTGAAACTGACAGACATATACAAAACACTTCACCCAACAACAATAGAATACACATTTTTTTCTCAAGTATACATGGAGCATAATTCAGGGTAGACCATAGGCTAAGCCCCCAAAAAAGTCTTAATACAGTTAAAAGATTAAAATCATCACGGTACCTTTTTTTATTATGATGGAATGAAACTAGAAATCAATAGCAGGAGGAAAACTAGAAAGTCTACAAATATGTGGAAATTAAACAACAAACCCTTAAGTAACCAATGGGTCAAAGAAAAAAATACAAGGAAAATTAGAAAATATACTGAGAGAAATAAAAATGTAAACACAGTTTATTGAAACTTGTGAGATGCTGAAAAAGTAATAGTAAGAAGGAATTTTATAGCTGTAGATGTTTATACTATAAAAGAACTAAATCAACAACCTACCTTTATTCCTTAAGGAAATAGAAAAAGAAGAAACTTCACACATCTGGCACACAAAAAGATACAATAAAGATTACAGCAGAGATAAACGAAATTGAGACTAGAAAAACAATAGAGAAATTAGTGAAACATAGGGTTGACTATGTAAAACATGAACAGAATTGTCAAGCCTTTAGCTAGAACAACTGTGAAAAAGGAGGAAGCTCAGGGGCCGAAGCGCAGTGGCTCACGCCTGTAATCCCAGCACTTAGGGAGGCCAAGGCTGGCGGATCACGAGGTCAGGAGATCGAGACCATCCTGGCTAACACGGTGAAACCCGGTCTCTACTAAAAACACAAAAATTTAGCCGGGTGTGGTGTGGGGCGCCTGTAGTCCCAGCTACTCGGGAGGCTGAGGTAGGAGAATGGCGTGAACCCGGGAGACGGAGCTTGCAGTGAGCCGAGATCGCGCCACCGCACTCCAGCCTTGCTGACAGAGCGAGACTCTGTCTCAAAAAAAAAAAAAAAAAAAAAAAAAAGCCCCCAGTTTACATCACACTCAGTGTTGAAAGACTGAAAGGGTTTTCTCTAAGATCAAGAACAAGGCAAGGATGTCCACGTTTGCCAGTCTATTCAACATAGCACTTAAAGTCCTAACCAGAACAATTAGGCAAGAAGAGGAAATTTAAAAAGATATCCAAAATGGAAAGGGGAAAATTAAATCATCCCTCTTCTCAGATTATATGATCATACATGTAGAGAACCCTAAAAATATCACAAAAACCTATTAGAAGTACAGTTTACCCAGAATTCTACTACTCCTTACCAAGGAGCATCTATTCTTATACTGATGTATGACATACTTTCAAACTTTCTCAATATCAAAGAGATTGTCTCACCAGCAGCTAAGGCTGTATTGTACTGATCTGTAATATTTGTTATTTCAAGCTGGAAGATATTATCTGAGAGTTTGACATATATTTGATCTTAAAGAATCTCACAGAAAAAGGCTTCTCTTATACTGTCAAATTTTGAAGTAGGAAAAAGACTTTCGAGATTGCTAAAAAAATAACCTGTAACATACCTAAAATGCTTTGTATCCTGATAATCCCAGAATTCAGGTAAAATGTTGATTTGATGTTCACAAAGGGAGTAATATTTTAGTTACTTAAATACTAACATGGGTATAATTTAAATTACTCTGGTTAAGGATAGTACAAGACTCTGTGACTGTAAACACTTCACCTGAGCCAAGTTTGAATTATTTAATGTGTTATGTCATTTATTTATTTTCCACAAAGAAATGTCCTTCCCCCTCAGGCTGAAAAAAAAAAAAGTCTAGAATATGAAGGAGAACCATGGGAAGAGAAAGGAGGCAAAGAACTACAAAGACAGATCTCACAAAATGGAAATGAAATGTATTGGAATTAAGAAGGAACACCTTCCTTTTAGTAATATCATAGTACAGCCAACGTAAAACAAGAACATATTATTGTACCCAAAGTCAATGGACTGTGTAATGTCCAGGACAATCCATGACTCATCACATCCCACAGCCATGTTAACAGATGCCAACAGGCTCAGCGGTGCCCCCAGAGCTACGCCTGCTAGAGGACACAGCTTAAATAAAGTGAAATACAATAATCTATGACAAAGTGGAAAAAAACAAGGAAGTGGAAAAAATAAGAATGTTCTTTGCTGATCCACATGTTCCATGAGAAATCTTATCAAGGATCTTATAAAAGTGATAAAATCATAGATGAGAAAGACAGTTGCAGAGGTCAAATTGCAATTTCACATTTTGTTTAATTTGTTGAAAGTATTTGGTAAACAATCTGTGTACTCAAATAAGAATAATTCAAAATGTTGCCACCATGTTTTACAAATTATTTTCAAGGATAAGCCATCTTTTCTTCTAATGAAATTAAACAACAGTTATTAATAGTTTGGCATTTCTATAATGGTTTTATCTTTGTTGATTGTAAAGTGAGTCCTCACAACATAAACCAAAATGCCAGCATTTCACGAGTGCAACATAGCAGAACTTTTTTTTTTTTTCCGACATGGAGTTTCACTCTGGTTTCCCAGGCTGGAGTGCAATGGCGTGATCTCAGCTCACTGCAACCTCCGCCTCCCGGGTTCAAGCGATTCTCCTGTCTCAGCCTCCCTAGTAGCTGGGATTACAGGCATGCACCACCACGCCTGGCTAATTTTGTATTTTTAGTAGAGATGGGGTTTCTCCATTTTGGTCAGGCTGGTCTCTAACTCCTGGCCTCAGGTGATCCACCCTTCTTGGCCTCCCAAAGTGCTGGGATTACAGGCATAAGCCACCGCGCCCGGCCAAAACACAGCAGAACTTCTATTGCTTTACGGGGAAGGGACTTCCATAATTAACATGGACTGAAAAAATGAATTTAAAATAAGTGTGAAAGGGGGCATCTGACATGTGCAATGATCATTAATCTCATTGCGGGACCTTTAAAATCCACCTACATGTGTGAGGGAAGTGTTTGTCTCTATATTTTTGTTCCTCTAAGTAGGTCTGAATCCCATTAGGGTGAGGCACCTGGGGAAGCACCTAGGAATAGTGATTCCTGACATGTTTCTCACAATTTAATACTTCATAATTTAGAAAGTTTTCCCATACATTCTCTAATTTGAGTTTCACAGAGATCCTGTGGAAGAACTCTGGGCAGATAGAAGTCCAGAAGAGAAACAACAGCTCAGGAATGTCACATCATTGGTCCAGGAGCTGTTTCCTTATTTCCTCTGAACCTAATTTTACTGAGAATATTTTTTTTCCTTAGAAAAAATTCTAAAGACCTCAATTTTTTTTTTTTTTTTTTTTTAGATGGAGTTTCACTCTTGTTGCCCAGGCTGGAGTGCAATGGTGCAATCTCAGCTCACTGCAACCTTACCTCCCGGGTTCAAGCAATTCTCCTGCCTCAGTCTCCCGAGTAGCTAGGATTACAGGCATGTGCCACCACACCCAGCTAATTGTGTATTTTTAGTAGAGATGGGGTTTCTGCATGTTGGTCAGGCTGGTCTTGAACTCTTGGCCTCAGGTGATCCATCTGCCTCAGCCTCCCAAAGTGCTGGGATTACAGGCGTAAGCCACTGTGCCCAGTCTGCAACATATTTTTAATTTCTGAAAATTATACTTTGAAAATAAATATTCTAGTAATAAAAATAGGTAACTCAAGGGACACAGAGATTCGCTTTTGGTCAGAGAAACCATACTTCCCTTTACTGGAAGACTGATTTTTTTTTTTTTAACTACTGAACTATGACAGGAATGTTTTGAACTGGAGCACTAACTATGGGCTACTTGTGTATCTAGGCCCTTCCTCAATAAATTTACAATCTATAAAAGAAGAAGAAAACCAGATAATACAACTTGTAAGTAGTACTGTGAGAGATTTTTAGAGAAAAACGTGCTGGCATATAAAAGGGTCATGAGGCTCTATTGACTCAAACTTGTTCAAGAAGTAAACAAAAGCCTAAAAGCCTAATGATAACAAAAATGTGCATTTATAAGTATGCAGTTTTAAAAAGAACGCTACATTGATTTTCTGCCACCACTCTCTAAGACTCCCTTCTGTAGGTTGCTATGCTGGGCTTTATGACAGCTCTAACACCTGCTCCTCCCCAGTTCTCCTTTGCCTAATTTCTGATGTAGGTGTTCATAAAAATCCTACCCCAATCTTCTTTGCTTCTCATTTCCATCCTCTACTTGGCAATTCTATCCATTTTACCAGGTTTAAGTAACTATCACTGCTATGTGTTCATGCTCAATTTATCTTCTTAGCTCCAGAATAGAAGCTACTGTGGATTATTTATATGTGGGTATCTTTGTGTGTGTGTGTGTGTGTGTGTGTGTGTGATGGAGTCTCACTCTGTCACCCAGGCTGGAGTGCAATGACGTGATCTTGGCTCAGTGCAACCTCCACCTCACGATTTTAAGCGATTCTCCTGCCTCAGCCTCTTGAGTAGCTGGGATTACAGGTGCCTGCCACCGTGCCTGGCTAATTTTCATATTTTTAGTAGAGATGGGGGGGTCTCACCATGTTGGCCAAGCTGGTCTCGAACTCCTGACCTCAAATGATCCATCCACCTTGGCCTCCCAAAGTGCTTGGATTACAAGCATCAGCCACCTCACTCGGCCTATATGTGGGTATCTTACAGATTACCTCAAGCTCAACAAGCACAAAACTCTTCTAGGCAGCAAATCTCTAAAACCTGCTCCTCTCCTACTCATAATTGCCCCATTATCACTCAGGCTTGAAGCCCTGGAATTGTCTTTATTTTTCAAACATCCTCTTCTTTGATTCTCTTTCTATGTGCATTTAGATCTCCTCTTTCAAGTTGCCAAAGGTACCTTTATATTATATCATGTAAATATTTTTGATATTTTACTCTTCTAAATGATTAAGTTGTTTGGTAAAGAACAAACATCCATACTCTTCAATCTTCTATCCTTAGCTTTCATGATTGGAGCCAATTCTATGATTTCTTATTCATCCAATCTGTACTTCCAACGCTTCCCCGGCACATCCTGCTGAAATCTCTATGTCGGCCTATCATATAGGATAACAGTCCTGTGTTCTTATTATAAAATACAGAATGTGGGGGATTTAAAGAAGACCATCTTTTACCTCCTGTGAAAGTTAAAGGGAGCATAGTCTACAAGGCCACTCTCACTTCTAACACCAGTTGCAAGTTCAAGGGATTCCCAAAACTACTTTCAGGTTTGGTAATTCACTAGAAGGGCTCACAGAACTCACTGAAAGGTGTTAGACTCATGGTTATGATTTATTACAGTGAAAGAATACAGATTAATATCAGTCAAGAAAAGGGAAGCATAGAGAAAAGCCCAAGACAGTACCAAATGTGAAGCTTCCTATTGTTCTCTCCCTGTGGAATCAGGACAGCATTTCCTGGCATCAATGTGTGACATTGCTTAGGTAGTACTGCCAAGCAGGGATGCTCACCTGAGCCTTGATGTCCAGAGTCTTATCCATTACTAGATAGTTGACTGTGCATGTGGCTGTCTTAAGTTTTCAGACCTATAGGACATGTAGCCTGTGACTCAAAGCTCCAACCCCACTTTAAATCACATTGTTAATATCTTGCTGGCTCAAGGTCCCCAGGAAAGCAAAGATGTTCCTATCAGGCATGATGTTCCAAGAGCTAGAGATTACCTCCAAGAAGCCAAGGGTAAAACCCAGACCTTTCTTTAGGCAAGACTAGCCTGGGCAACATAGGCCCCATTTCTACAAAAAAATAAAACGTTATCTCATGGTGGCACATGACTATTGTCCCAGCTATTCAGGAGGTTGAGGCGAGAGGGTCCCTTGAGTCCAGGAGATTGAGGCTGCAGAGAGCTCTGATCATGCTGCTACACTCCAGCCTGGGTGACAGAGTGAGAACTTGTCAAAAAAAAAAAAAAAATCTTTACTATGGACCCTCCTACTTTCTTAGGTTTTCAAGATGTGTATGTAGATAAAATGGATTTGTAACTGGGCTGAAAAACCTGTCTTTGAATCTGGAAACACCTGGATGTCTGGTTTTTTTACTCTTGGCTAAGCTAGGGTCAGTAAGATTTATGTAATTCTGTTTATGTTCTGACCCGGAGACTTTAATACTTACTTTCTTTACTAATGGTTTGCCACTGACATAACCAGGTGAAAAGCGTGGCTTGCTTATATGACTACAGGAACTTATAACACCCCTATAAGGGCTTCTCTGAACTCCCACAAAGCCAAAATTCCTGGTCCAGATCTTAGAGGTTCAAATTAGAGACACAGCCTGGTCCCGTGTATGAAAAGAAGGTGGCCCTGGAGAGTTGGGATGTCAAAATGTCTCTTGTACTCCCAATGTTTGCTTGCTTTTTCCTTCTCTTGCTGTATCACATAATTTGCATTTTTGTAAAAAAAAAAAGTACACTTTGTGTAATCTGATGAATCCTTTCAAATATATGAACTGTGGGAAAAAAATATACCAGAGTTTATTACACTTGCAGAAATTTTACTAAGGATTAGAAAAATTTCAAATATCATAACCTGAACCAAGAATTTCATATGTAATTAACACCACTATCTCCTTCATAGTTCAGAAAAGTGATAAGATGAAATTCAATAAATAAGTCTGGGGTTTCAGTAAATATAATGTCAACCACTTTCTTACTATTGAATAACAGTTTAAATTTTAGTTACTTTTATGATTTTAAGGTACTTCATTAATTTAACTACTAAAAATATTTGTTAGATTGCACACTAAGTTTCAGACTCTCAAAAATGATGAAAATTAATAAAAACTATATTATAAAGAAGTAGTTGACCACAGCAGAGACAGAGGTATAGAAAGAAAACTGAGCAAGTCTGGTCAGAGGTAGGCCTGGCACAAGGACCTGGAGAAGGCAGTGTCACCGAGAGCCGGTGGAGGAAATGAGGCTCCATAAACAGAACTTTGGTTGTGATCTCTGGTTTTCTAGCCAAACTGTCTTGTAATTTTTCTCTCAGATTCTCAAAGAAATGGGCAGCAATTGTAAAGTGACAGTAATGATTCAGCTAATTACCAGACAAAAACAAATGATGACTTAAAAGCACCATCTCTCAACAAGTATAATTTAGGCCTTCTATGGTCATGGATTAAAATACTTAATATTGTTGACATGTCAATACTCCTCAAAGTAATCTATAGATTTAAGCAATCCCGATAAAAATCCTAATGTCTTTTTTTTTACAGAAATAGAAAAGTCCATTCTAAAATTCATGTGAAATTTCAAGGACCCAAAATAGCTAAGACAATCTTGAAGAAAAAGTTAAAGGACTCACACTTTCCTGACTTTATAATATGTTATAAAACTACAGTAATCAAAACCAATATATTTCTGGCATAAAGACAGGTATATAGACCAATGTGATAAAACAGAGGGCCTGGAAAGAAACAATCAAATATTTGGTGATGTCAGATAAGGATAACAAAATCACTCGATGGGGAAAGGGCAGTCTCTTTAAAAACGGTGTTGGAAAAACTGAATATCTGCATGCAAATGAGTAAAGGTAGGGGCTTATCTTACACCATATACAAAAGTTAACTCAGATGGATTAAAAGCCTAACTGTAGGATGCAAATCTATACAACTCCCAGAAGGAAACATGGAAGAAAACTTCACAATATTAGATTCGGCAATGATTTCTTGGATATGCCTCCAAAATCACAAGCAACAAAAGCGAAAATAGACAAATGAGATTACATCAAACTTAAAAGGTTTTCTGTACCAATGGCACAATCAACAGAATACAAAAGTAACTTATGACATGGGAGAGAAGATTTGCATTATATATATATATATATATATATATATATATATATATATATATATATATGGGTTAATATTCAGACAATCTAAAGAACTACAATTAAACAAGAAAAAAAATCAAATAACCTCATTAAAAAATGGAGAAAGGGGCTTCAGGAGACATTTCTCCTAAGATGATATACAAATGGCCAACAAGCATATAAAAAGATGCTCAATATCACTAATCATTAGAGGAATGCAAATAAAACCAATGTAAATAAAATGATAACTGCTATGGAAAACAGTATGCCAGTTCCTCAAAAAATTCAAGACAGAACTACCATATGATCTAACAATCCCACTTCTTATGGTTAATTTTATATGTCAGCTACACTGTGCTATGGAGTACTCAGATATCTGGTTAAATATTTCTAGATGTGTCCATGAGGATGTTTCTGGATGAAATTAACATTTGAATTGATAAACTGAGTAAATCAGATTGCCATTTGCAACGTGTGTGGGCCTCATGCATTCTATGAAGGCCAGAATAGAATAAGAAGCTGACCAAAAAAGAATTTCTTCTTTCTTCCTGTCTTTGAGCTGACACGTTGGTCTTCTCCTGTCTTTAGATTGAAATTTATGCCACTGGGTCTCCTGGGTCTGAAGCCTTGAAACTTAGACCATAACCATACCATCATCTCTCCTGGGTCTCCAGATTGTCGACTTTAGATCTTCAGCTTCTCAGCCTCCATAGCACATAAGCCAATTCCTTATATTAACTGGATAACCTAGATTAGTACAGTATATAACCAAAGGTACTGAACACAGGATCTCAAAGAGATATTTGCACACTGATTTCATAGCAGTACTATTTTCAATAACCAAGAGTCGGAGGCAACCCAAATATCCATCAATGAAAGAATGAGATAAGCAAAATGAGGTCTATTCATAATAAAATATTATTCCACTCTAAAAAAATGAAGTACTGATATATGCTATAACATGGATGAACTTTAAAAACATTAGGCTAAGTGAAAGAAGCGAGACACAAAAGGTCACATATTGTTTGATCTGATTTATACGAAACACCCAGAAAAGGTAAGTCTATGGAAATGGAGAACAGACTAGTGGTTGCCAGGAGCTGGGCAAGGGAGAAATAGGGAGTAACTGCTTAAAGGACATGTGGTTTCCTTTAGGGTTGATGAAAATAACTTGGCACTAGCTGGAAGTGATAGCTGCACAGCAATGTTAACGTGCTAAATGCCACTGAATTATACACTTAAAATGGTGAATGGTTAATTTTATGTTACACGAATTTTACATCATTATAAAAATTTGACCCAAAAAGTATGATTTGAATACTCTTGATTTACAATAATTTATTATTAAATCCTTACATATGGGTCTTCCAGGTTAAGGTTGAGTTCCAGATAATAAATTTAGTAAAATGGCCCTACAACTGTAAATATGCTGCATTTCAAATTGCATGCATATGCAATTTTGCAAAATAGATAGGCTTTTAAATGTTTGATAAGCACATTCCAAAAAGGCAAAGTCAGTAAAAAAGTAAAGCTCTCAAAATTAGGATTTGACTACTTTGTTTTCAAAAATATTGCATTAATATTTAACCTAAAATTGTAATTTCTAAATATCATTCGATAAAAAACCAGATTACTAAAATCTGAAATATAATCCAAAGAAGAAAGTGCTAATAAAATTAAACTATTTTTTCTGTGTTTTTTGAGACAAAATTAAACTATTTTTTCTTCCCAATTATCTCCTATAGAAAACTCTTTTCTCCAAGATTATTTACACAAAAGACTGAGAAAACAAGATTATACACACACACACACACACACACACGGGTGCATGCACACAGTTTACAGTAAACTACACTGACTCTCCACTTTGTCAAAACAATAGTCTGTTCTTGGAATTATTCTGTCTCTAATCTTAATCATTCATTGAACTTTCTCAGTTACATGTCCTATAAGGTTATAACCATCATATTCTACTCTAAGGGTGCCAAGTTAGTAAACAGGGGTGGCAATGAGATTCACAGTATGGTCCAAAGAGATTTGATACGGTCTAATTGGACATAGGTATTTGTTTTGCCCTCTTTTTCTCTCTTGCCAGAAAATGTTCAAATTAACTCTCATGGCCTGCCAAAACACTACTTTATTAATGACTTGGTAGAGCAATATACTTTCCTCATTGAAAGTTTGTAGAGCGGTATACTCCTTGCTGTCAGTGAAACATTCAAATAGAAAGTCCAATGAATTAAATAATAGATGTGATAGTTTTATTAACATTTAACTTTGTCAAAAGGATCATTGAGAAGACAATCTTTTTTCTTGCAAACAGAAAAGCGGTAGAAAGACTAAACACGACTTTTTATTATTTCTCCTTATATTTCTCCAGCATTGGAATCCTGATCTACTTAGTAATGCTTTCTCAAAACACTAGCTACCGTTTATGTTGGTAGAACCAGAAAAATGCCCTAATGTGTCCATAGAAAAGAATTAATTTTGGCCAGGCGCCGTGGCTCACGCCTGTAATCCCAGTGCTTTGGGAGGCTGAGGCTGGCGGATCACGACGAGGTCAGGAGATGGAGACCATCCTGGCTAACACGGTGAAACCCTGTCTCTACTAAAAATACAAAAAATTAGCCGGGTGTGGTGGCAGCGCCTGTAGTCCCAGCTACTCCGGAGGCTGAGGCAGGAGAATGGCGTGAACCCTGGAGGCGGAGCTTGCAGTGAGCCGAGATCGCGCCACTACACTCCAGCCTGGGGGACAGAGAGACACTCCGTCTCAAAAAACAAACAAACAACAACAACAACAATAAAAAAAGAATTGAGCACTTTATGAAATACTTTTTATATTATACTATTTCTTCCTTTGAGAAATACCATTATTAGTGCACAACCGATCACCATAGCTTAAAATCAGATTACAAAATACAAGGAAAATACTTACAATAGGAAAGTTCACCCCTAAGCATTTCTTTATGACACTTTTAGCCATATGAACTCACCACTATTTATTAGAATGCAATATCTCAAAATAGAATATGGTATAAAACTGATTTTTTCAAATAAATACATAATAAAAATTATTAAAATATATAATTTATAAAATCTAAATGTTTACTGATACATGTTGTATTTAATGTTAATATATCCAAAAAGTTTAGGCTCAAACTTCATAATAGTGACCCTTTTTTCTCAGCTTCCCCCCCAAAAAAAATTATTAACCTTTGTGTATTTCTCTACTTTGTTCACAGATACAAAGGCCAGCCAGATGGAGCTGGTCAATGTTCCCAGATCTTAAGTGCAGTGACTCAAATCTAATAAAAAGGCATTTGGAATACAGCATTGATAAAGTTGTATGACTGTACAGGGAAACATTCTGCTTGTAGCCATGAGATATGAACTTCTGTTTACTACTTCTTCTAATAGTTACTAGAAATATGAGAGCCAATAGACCCTTTATTTTTATTTCACCCTTTCCTCTGAGTTGTATTAAATGACATTTCGAATGTCAAATGAATCTGATATCTACAGTCAAACATAACAGCATCAATGGTAAATGTGGCCAAGGAGTCAGATATGTCAATTCTGCGTGAATTAATCTGTTTGTGCAAATGATATTTATCATTACCTATGATCAGCACTTTTAGCTTTATCATATCATAATTTACCCAATATGTATAGGTGTCAACATGTGTGAAGATAGGCACCAGATAAGCAAGACTCATTAAGATGTTGCCATAGATTAATCCTACAGAGTAGAAGCATTTGGCTGCTCTGATTTTTAAGATCCCTGCTTTAGAGCCTAGAAAATATCATGAAAATGAATTAATCATTTTTCTTTTCAGTATCGTCAACAACCTTTAGTATTGGAGATGTTATAGGAAATGACTACCTGCTTGTAATTCCATTTTTAGTCAAAACTAATACAGAAGTATTTGCTAGATTTGGAAATACCCAAATGTAAGTCAGTGGCCTAATCTCTAACGGGTTTAATAGCCTATTTTAGATGAGATCTTTTCCAGTAAGTGTTGTCTTCCAGATTTTCATGTCCTCTCGCTAATGTTTTCCAAGGTGGAATTTGGGCATATGAGGGCTCATGTAAATTCATGGCATTGGGTGGGTGGAGAGAGTTTCTTGGGACATATGAGTATCTGTGTTGGTCTCCACTGGTCAGGTCCTTCAGTCCTTAGATCCTTAGATGACATCACTAAGGTATAGTTAATCTATACTTAATCACAGGTGTTTTTTTTAACACCACTTCCAAAGTCTGTGGTTGCTACGTCCCACTGGCCATTCAGTTGGCATAAGCCATATTCCCAGAAACAAGTACATCGCCCTTTGCTGATGGGTGCCACATCATTTCTGCTGATGCTATAGGCACTCCAAACTCTGATTGTAAGGCCTACTTGATTGCTGGCATTGAGTAGCATTGCTGCCCTTGACTACAGACTCAATTAACTTCCTGATCATTTCCTCTGTTAAATTGTACCCAGATTCTCAGCTAATATATGTGTTGTCTTGAAAGACATGTGAAAAACTCTGTGCCAGAGGGAAAAGAAGAGCTCTGGATGGTCTCACTCTGGTAATCATATGCTTCCACTTCCACTCACAAGTCATTGGGCAGAATTAGTTACATAGTTCCACCCTACCTCAAGTGGACAGGAATTACAATTATGCTGTGTACCTGAAAGGGAAAAGAACTGGAAACATTTGTTGAACAGGCTACCACAAGTACCCTGCCAAGTGATCTCCCTTCAAAAACTCAAGTAGGAAGCTAAATTAAAGTCATCATCTCTTCTTCACTTGTTCCTCAGTGTAACTAAGAAGACTTGACTTCTGGGACTTTAGCTCTGATAGAGGAGTTTAGATATGTGTCTCACCTCCTGAACTTTCTGCCTTCATCCCCTTTTCATTCTCATAATCTGTCATGACCAGAAAAAGGGGACGCCTTTTCTGGGCTGATGTGGAACTACATGGCCTCTTATTCTCCTCTTTTTGGATTGGTATTGCAATAAGGTAAAATGATGGCTAGGGAACATGATTTACTAAGAAGAAGAATATTAAACATATTTACTATTTTCAAATATGATCCTGTTACATCTGAGTTTATACTCCATACAGCATTTTATGTACAATATTTCCTACAATATTGTCACAAACATTACAAACCTAACAATAAGCTTTTATTCACTTTGTTTAACTTATTATTTGCTGATGATGCTTTACTCACTCCCTCTGGGAAGGTCTGCCTTCTTTCCCAATCGTATGTGGACATCTTTACAAGGCAATTCGAGTTCTTAAATGTTTGTATATCAAATTCTGTTTCTTTTGAAAATAATTTTATGTCTTAGGTGATATGTGAATAGATTTATAAAGTTATTAATTCAATAGCCCATAATGAACCTTTGGGACATACACCATGACATATTTGTTCAACAATTTTAAATTATTTCTTAATATTATAGATTATCGTGATGAAGCATATTAATCCTACAGTCTTTTCATCTCCCTGTAGTCTTCAATTCAGCATTAATGGAGAGATTTTCAAGCACCACAGGACTTGATGCAGCTAACTTGAAGATAAGCTTTTGGGGAGTTTCCTGTTATCTTTGCACAGTGGCCTTTGTGAGTAGGCCCTTTCCATGTTGTTAGATTCTCTCTAAGAAACACATGTATTAGAAACACTATAACTGTCTCTACTATGAAGATCTAATGCCACTCCTTTGCTCATAATGTATGTGCTCAACTAAAAATGTTTCTTTGACAATGCACTAAGATTCTTCTAAAGCCTATAGAACATATTATCATTGCATCTATGTAAGAATACCATTCAAAGGAGCAATGAAACAAAAAGTTGATTCTTTGAAAAGAGAAACAAAATTGATAAACTGCTAGCAACCAAGAAAAGAGAAGAGACAAAATCAGAAATGAAAAGAAGACTTACAAGTGATACCACAGAAAACCAAAATTTCATCTGTGACTATTATGAACAACTACATGCTCACAAACCAAAAAAATCCCGAGGAAATGGCTAAATTCCTGGAAACATACAACCTCCTAAGATTGAAGAAGGAAAAAACTGAAAACCTGAATAGACCAATAATGAGTAGCAGGATTGAATCAGTAATAAATACATTTCCCATGAAAAAAAAAAGTCCAGGACCTGATGGATTCATAGCTGAATTCCATAAAATGAACAAAGAAGAACTAATACCAATCTTCCTGAAACTGTTCCAAATAATCTGGGAGGAGGGACTTCTTCATTCCTCATGTAACAAGGCCAGTATCACTCTGATACTAAAACCAGACAAAGACAAAACAAAACAAAAAAAGAAAACTACATGCCAATATCTCTGATAAACATAGACGCAAATATCCTCAACAAAATACTAGCAAATGGAATTCAAGAGCACATCAAAAAGGTAATACACCATGATCAAGTGGGTTGTACATAAGGAATGGAAGGATAGTTCAACATATGCAAATTAATAAATGTGATACATCACGAAAATAGAATGAAGGATTAAAAACCTCAATAGATGCAGAAAAATCACTTGACATCCTTTTCAATAAACGGTGCTGGGAAATTAGATAGCCATATGCAGGAAAATAAAACAGAACCTGAGAGGTGAAGCCAGCTGGACTTCCTGGGTCGAGTGGGGATTTGGAGAACTTTTCTGTCTTAAAAGAGGATCGTAAATCAGCGCTCTGTAGCTAGCAAGAGGATTGTAAAATGCACCAATCAACGCTCTGTAAAATGCACCAATCAGTGCTCTGTAAAACGCACCAATCAGCAGTAGCTAAAAGTAGCCAATCACAGGGAGGATTGAAAAAAGGGCACTCTGATAGGACAAAAACCAAACATGGGCAGGGACAAATAAGGGAATAAAAGCTGGCCACCTCAGCTGGCAGTGGCAATCTGCTTGGGTTACCTTCTATGCGTGGAAGCTGTGTTCTTTCGCTTTTCACAGTGAATCTTGCTGCTGCTCACTCTTTGGGTCCGTGCCACCTTTAAAAGCTGTAACACTCACTGTGAAAGTCTGTGACTTCATTCTTGAAGTCAGTGAGACCACCAACCCACTGGCAGGAATCAAATCTGGACACAGACCCTTATCTCTCACCATATGCAAAAATCAACTTAAGATGTATTAAAGACTTAAATGTAAGACCCAAAGCTATCAAAATACTAAAAACCTTGAGAAAATTCTTCTGGACATTGGTCTAGGCAAAGAATTTATGACTTAAGACCTAAAAGGACAGGGAATAAAACCAAAATTAGACAAATGGGACAATTAAACTAAAAAGCTTCTGCACAGCAAAAGAAATAACCAGGTGTGTAAACAGGCAATAAGAGAATAGGAGAAAATATTTGAAAACTATTTATCCCATAGGGGACTAATATCCAGAATATAGAAGAAGCTCAAACGACTCCCTCAACAAACAACAACAACAAAAAGCGCAAACAAGGCCAGGCATGGTGGCTCACGTTTATAATCCCAGCACTTTCAGAGGCCAGGACGACTGGACCACTTAAGGAGTTTGAGACCCGCCTGGCCAACATAGCGATAGCCCGTCTCTACTAAAACTACAAAAATTAGCCGGGCATGGTGGTGGGAACATGTAATCCCAGCTATTCGGGAGGCTGAGAGGCAAGAATCCCTTGAATCTGGGAGGTGGAGGTTGCAGTGAGCCAAAGTTGCACCATTGCACTCCACATTGCACTCCAGCCTTCGCGACAGAGGGAAACTCTGTCTAAAAAAAAAATTAAAAAAAAAAAGACAAAGAACAAATAATGTTCTTTAAAAGTGGTCAAAGGATATAAATAGACATTTTTCAAAAGAAGACACACAAATGGCCAGCATGGGCATATAAAAAAAATGCTCAACACTAATCATCAGAGAAATGTAAATTAAAACCATAATAAGATATCATCTTCATTAAAATGGCTATTATTAAAAAGATAAAATGTCTCATCTGCTATGTTGGTGAGGATATGGAGAAAAAGGAATGTTTATATGCTGTTGATGGGAATGTAAATTAGTACAACCTTTATTGAAAATAGAGATTTCCCAAAGAACTAAAACTAGAACGACTGTTCGATCCCACAACCTCACTACTGGGTATCTACTCAAAGGAAAATAAATCAATATATCAAAGAGGTACCTGCACTCATGTTTCTTGCAGCACTATTCACAATAGAAAAGATATAGAATCAACCTAAGGGACCACCAGTGGATGACTGGATAAAGAACATGTGGTATATATACCTGATAGAATTCTATTCAGCCACAAAAAGAATGAAATCACGTATTTTGCAGCAACATGGTTGGAACTGGAGGTCATTATCTTAAGCGAAATAAGCCAGATATAGAAAAATATCGCTCATAAGTGAGTGCTAAAAAAAGTGTCTGCCTGGATGTAGACAGTGGAATGATAGGCAGTGGGGACTCAGAATTGTGGGGGGATGATGAGAAATTACTAATGGGTACAATCTACAGCATTTGGGTGATGGATACCCTAAAAGCTCTGCCTTGACCACTATGTATGTAACAAAATTGCACTTGTTACTCATAAATTCATACAAATTAAAAAATATATAAGACAAATGTAACCATGCTTTCTTCAAAAAAACAAAAACGAGGTAATCCCCATTGTAGTCCCAAAGATGGGAGGAGAGAGGCTCATCCAAGAAGGCCAGAGAGGGCTGGATGTACCCTGCTTCCAAATCTGCTGTCTCTCCCACACCCCTTACAACAGACCCTTTGCTCTCCCTTCTACCTCCCCGTTCTCAGAGGCTTCCCTTTCTCTATTTCTCATCTGTCCCCTAAAAAGGAAGGCAGAAGATTCCAATTCCTTGTACCCTTAGGTACTTGGAGCAGAATGAAGTAAATTTAGTGAATCATTTGCAACTCTGTACTTCTTGGGTGCACTTCAAATATCAACAAGAACATTTATTCTGTGGAATAGACTGGTTTAATTTCGGCCTTTTACCTCAACTTTCAGCCGTCTGAAATTGTGTAGACTTTTCCAAACTGTGTTCATGTGCCACCCTGACCTACTGCCTATCCCTGCAATTGGATGGGCCTTAAGAACCCAGCTCCAGGCCAGGCGTGGTGGCTCATGCCTGTAATCCCAGCACTTTGGGAGGCAGAGACAGGTGGATCACCTGTGGTCAGGAGTTCCAGACCAGCCTGGCCAACACAGTGAAACCCCCTCTCTACTAAAAATGCAAAAACGAGCTGGGTGTGCTGGCAGGCAGGCACCTGTAATCCCAGCTAGTCAGGAGGCTGAGGCAGGAGAATCGCTTCAACCCAGGAGGCAGAGGTTGCAGTGAGCGGAGATCATACCACTGCACTCCAGCCTGGACAACAGAGCAAGACTCCATCTCAGAAAAAAAGAACCCAGCTCCAGACACTGCTCCCTGATGAACCCAGCTCCAGACACTGCTCCCTGATGTCTATGCATCCAAGAGGTGCCTTCTTCCCAGCAGCTATCGCTCTAGTGGAACAAAGCACCAGGTTTCTTCTCTAATTACTTCTATCAGTAAATAATTTCCAGGCACCTAAGAGTTTAGATTTAGCCATGTCTTTGAGGACTGTAATTTTTCCCTAATTTGTGCTTTCTGTAATAATAATTAGGGATTTATTGCTTATATTAAAAACTCATCAGAACTCTAATTGAAAAGGTTAACTACTTCTCATGAGTTCAAGTTGGGAATTACTATTCAAATTCACTGACAACTTAAAATGTAAGATAATTTTCTTTCCTACCGTGCAGGTCCTTCATGTGATAAGGATTTTACTTTTGCCAAACAGAAGTTCCTAGAACATCCTGGGAATATGGCATTTTAGAAGAAAAACAATAAGCAATTACTTAAAGCGAATTTAACATTCAGAACAAAACAGTGTTTCATTTGATTGATACATATTTTGTTTTTACCTTGAAGAACGTACCACAAAAGAAGGGTCACAGCAATGAGATATAACTTCACTTAACTTTTCAAACTGATACTGTCCAAATATTTAATAATATTCTGTTGATTAACACAGTGCTTTTAAAACTATGGATAGGAAAAGCATATTTCTTGTAGTTATATGTCTTGGAATAATATATAAATCACACATCAGCCTTAAATATTACTGCTTAGCAGAAGACAATCATAAAAAGAATTTTATCAATTTAAATTAGAATACTAAATAATCCAGTAAAGCTAGCATTTGCAGAACACTTGGTGTGTTACACATAAATATTCAATTAATTCACAGAAAAATCACAAGAGATTGTCAGTTGCATAATGTCACTTTGCTAGTTAAGGTGGTACAGAGATTTAAACCCAAGCCCAGATGCACAACCACATCAGCATAGAGACAGATGTTATTGCATGTTGGCAGATGAAATTGTGAAAGTGAAATTCCCATGGTTCCAAATCAGAAATTGCTGCCTTAGGGCGTGGGGAGGAGGTGACAGTCATTTAGACGGCTGGTGGGAAAATTTTAAAAATAACACAAGAGGGATAATTGGCAATGTCATACAAATAAATAAATGACAACTTTTCTGAGTGGAAGAAGGCAATCCACAAGGAGGCTGGTGGGTTACTATAAGTCCACTTTCATATTCATTATTTTCTTTTCTTCTTCTTCTTCTTCTTTTTTTTTTTTTTTTTTGAGATGGAGTCTTGCTTGTCACCCAGGCTGGAGTACAGTGGTGCGATCTTGGCTCCCTGCAACCTCCACTTCCCCGGTTCAAGCGATTCTCTTGCTTCAGCCTACTGAGTAGCTGGGACTACAGGCGCCTGCCACCACGCCTGGCTATTTTTGTATTTTTTTTTTTAGTTTCACCATATTGGCCAGGCTGGTCTCGAACTCCTGACCTTGTGATCCGCCTGCTTTGGCCTCCCAAAGTGCTGGGATTACAGGCATGAGCCACCAAGACCGGCCATATTCATTCTTTTCTAAATGGTGATTCTTATGAGAAATACTCATATCCCCCACTAAATGGAGATGTTAATTGTATCAATTTTTATAACAGTGAAATAGTACAGGTCCAGTTCTCCAGCAATAGGTGGCTGACTAAGCAAATAATAGTGCCTCCATGCCCCAGAATAACATGCAGCCATGAAAAAATAAGGTCATATTTACTGATAACGTTAATATATATTGCCTTTTAAAAAGGCAAGATACAGAATAGTGTGCATATTGTGCTCTGTGAATAAAAAGTTACTACAATAGGTTTGTTTTACTCAGCTCTTTTTAATCTCTGGGAAAGCTTGGAGCCACAGAACTAACGTCAGGAATGTTCGTTTGGTCAGTGATTAAGATTGTATTCTCTATGGCCCAGGCAGTGGGTCAGGATGTACCAGGCTGACAGCATTGTTTAAACATGAAAATTCATGAAGTGTACCTGGTGCCTGTTTGGCATCTGCAACTTGGCTGGTTGGGTAGCTGTGTGATCAGCAGCCTTTAAGAACTCTGGATTCTGAGATTTGAGTGGACTTTTTTTGTTGTTTGTTTGAGACAGAGTTTCGCTCTGGTCGCCCAGGCTGGAGAGCAATGGCGTGATCTCGGCTCACTGCAAGCTCAGCCTCCTGAATTCAAGCAATTCTCCTGCCTCAGCCTCCCTAGTAGCTGGGATTACAGGTGCCCGTCATCACGCCCGGCTAATTTTTTGTATGTTTAGAAGAGACGGGATTTCGCCATGTTGGGCAGGCTGGTCACTAATGAGCGGACTTTCTGAGGTGGAGATGCCTGACACACATCTCCGCAGTTTGCAGCCAGAAAGGGCGTGTCTGCACAATTCCCGCGAGAGAGGGAACGTGGAAACCTGGGCCTGACCTCTCTAGTCTTTGCTTATGCATGCCTGTGTCTCACAGTTCCTGCACAGTATCCTTTGCAGTAATATATCTTAGCTGTAAGCATAACTTTTTGACTTATATGAGTCCTTCCGGTGAATCACTGAGCAAATCATGACCATGATGTAGTCGTGGGAACCCCAAAATATGTTCTCAGTTGAAATTTCCAAAAAAGATTTATACATATACATGCATATAAAGGTACAGGATTATTTCTGGAAGGATCTTCAAGAAATTAGTGTTCCCTGATCCCCAAGTGAGAGAGCCAGTGGTGTGAAGTGAATGACTTTTTTTTTACTCCATATATGTGTTTCTTTTCATTGATATGAGATAATTTAAAGTATATTTGTAAAAAATATATAGTAGTTATACTCAATGCTTTGCCATGACCATGGAGTTGTTGTCTTGAGGTAAGATGTGAAGGATCTTTAAGTTGCAGTGGAGAATAGGAGAGAGTAGAAAGCCATGAGTGTGCTACTGGGGCTTCCCTGAACCTGCAGGTGAGAGCCAGACTCTTCTGACCTTTTGGATGAGATCAAGAAGGCAGGCAGAAACAGGAAAAGGGTCTCTGATAGAACAGCATGTGTGGGAAAGCATCTATACAGTGGGTTTATAAGAAAGATAACAGGAATCCCTCATACATTGTATGATGTTTATAACCTTGTAACATTTATTAATGGTATAAATATAAATATAACAATTTTAGTTTTGCACCTTTGTTTTGCTAGTAACTGACAAGGAACCCACAGTTGTTCATTTGTTCAATGGTTTTGCAGCACTTGTGACTGTCTGTCACCTTGTTGTGACTCTTCTATGTCATGTGGACAGAGCAGCAGGCCGAGAGCCAGAAGACATGGTACTACTCATGAAGGGGTCTTAACAAGAACATTTCCAACAGCTAGTCACGCAACATGCATGAGATTCTTTTACTTTGGTTGAAAAATGAGGGTTATGGTGGAATCGTGTTGGGCCTGAGTGATCCCTAATTCTCTCCTGCTTTTTAAATTGCATGTTTCTGCTGCAATCTCATAAAGAAGAGGAAATAGCTTCACTTTGCCAACTGAGGAAATAATGGTTCAGGTATTAAGTTCCCACCAAATTCACATTTACAACAGCCACATTTTACAGAATTGCATATTTTAGATTTTTGGTGCCATCCTGATGTTTATCAATACAGAAGGTTGGCAAAGAATAATGTTTCAATGCACTAAAAAAAGAGAATCTGATATGGTTTGAATGAATGGGGTTAAGGTCACTATATCTTATGAATGAACCCAGTGATAGTCTCCATAGTTAGATAGTATTGGATAATTTATTATCTTAAAAAGTATGTGGCTGGGTGCAGTGGCTCAAGCCTGTAATCCCAGCACTTTGGGAGGCTGAGGCGGGCGGATCACGAGGTCAGGAGATCGAGACCATCCTGGCTAACACAGTGAAACCCCGTCTCTACTAAAAATACAAAAAATTAGCCGGGCGTGGTGGCGGGCGTCTGTAGTCCCAGCTACTTGGGAGGCTGAGGCAGGAGAATGGCATGAAGCCAGTAGGCGGAGGTTGCACTGAGCCGAGATCACACCACTGCACTCCAGCCTGGCGACAGAGATAGACTCCATCTAAAAAAAAAAAAAAAAAAATCCTTAAAGATAGTACCATCCTGGCTGGGCGCGGTGGCTCACGCCAGTAATTCCAGCATTTTGGGAGGTCAAGGCAGGCGGATCACGAGGTCAGGAGATCGAGACCATCCTGGATAACGCGGTGAAACCCCGTCTCTACTAAAAATACAAAAAAAAAAAAAAAATTAGCCAGGCGTGGTGGTGGGCGTCTGTAGTCCCTACTACTCGGGAGGCTGAGGCAGGAGAATGGCGAGAACCCGGGAGGCGGAGCTTGCAGTGAGCCTAGATTGCACCACTGCACTCCAGCCTGGGCGACAGAGCGAGACTCCATCTCAAAAAAAAAAAAAAAAAGATGGTACCATCCTAGGTCATGAGAAGTTCCAAGTAGGTCCATGGCATGGGTGCTGAAAAGGAGCAACAGTGAAGGTCATTTACACATGAAGGAATTGCAAGTTCCTAGCACTTAAGTGTCATCCACAAGGAAATTGAAGATTGAGGAATTGAGAAGATGGTGATGGATGTAAGAAAATGATCCATTTGGAAGATGACACTTGCTAGAAATGGTAGAGGTTGCTGTAATCAGCTGATATTTGTCTAAAAGGATAAGTGAGATTGTCATTTTGTTTGCTTGCTTGCTTTTTTTTTTTTTTTTTTTTTTTGAGACTGAGTCTCGCTGCATCGCCCAAGCTGGAGTGCAGTGGCCCGATCTCGGCTCACTGCAAGCTCCGCTTCCCAGGTTCACGCCATTCTCCTGCATCAGCCTCCTGAGTAGCTGGGACTACAGGCGCCCGCCACCAAGCCTGGCTAATATTTTTTTGTATTTTTAGTAGAGACAGGGTTTCACCGTGTTAGCCAGGATGGTCTCAATCTCCTGACCTCATAATCTGCCCGCCTCGGCCTCCCAAAGTGCTGGGATTGCAGGCTTGAGCCACGGCGCCTAGCCTACTTGCTTCTTTTTATGAACACCAGTAACCAGGAATTGATGGAAATTTACCAGAAATGTTTCCTGATGCTATGGTAGACAAACTATGGAAATAATGAGTTCTACAAGGGCATTGCAAATGGTGGTCTAGGCTTCAGTGGAGTTGAGGATGTATAGTCAACCCTTTTTTTGTTGTTTTATTATTTTTTTGTGTGCCAGGTATTAGCCTGTGCATTTTATGGGCATCATCTTATTTAATCTTCACAATGGATACCTTCATTTTACAGTGGAAGATACTGAAGTTCAGAGACATTAAGTGACTTGTTAAGGCTTGTGACTGGTAAATGGTGGAGTCTGCATTAGAAATCCAGACTGTTGCTTCCAAGCCATACTCTCAAACGCTATGCTATACAAGGGCATTCTGTGATGATGTTGAGATAGTCCTTTTTGAAAATGTAATGAGTTCCCAGAGGGCACAGAAGGAAAGAGCTGGAAGGCAGGACCACAGTGAAAGGGTGAGCTAGAAGAATAGAGGTGCTTAGAGTAGAAGAAAAGACAGACTTACTAAGGGGTTTGGGACTTGACAGAGCACCCAAAAATGGCAGAGCAGAGAAATATGGGGGAGGATTATGGGCCTTGAGGTTCAGAGTGGACCCTTGCAGGGATGGGGCTTCAGTCTCCACCCCTGCTCATGCCCTTGCTTCCTGGAAACCTATCATGGGCTTTGCTCAGGTTACCCCAGGACTCCAGAAGTTTTATGCTTCTTGGAGTCTGTCTTCTGAGTAGGAGTGGGAATGTAGATGTGGCAAAGCTGTTCTCACTCCAGTTTGGATGCCAGGTGGTAAGAAGTTTAATTTTTCTGCAAAGTTTATGCCCTTGATTTATGAAGGGGTATTGATGTTTCTCAAACTAAGGAACCCAAACCTTTTTTACGTGGTGTAAGGACATTACATGCTGAAAACTTGATTTTTGCTTTGGTTCCACTATTAATTTGCTGGGTGACTTTCGGCAGGTCACAGCTTCTTTGAGTACCTGGTTTCCTTTTTTTAAGCTCAGAAATTCAGCTGCGTGACCTTTAAGATTTCATATGCTCGCCAGGCGCAGTGGCTCACGCCTGTAATCCCAGCACTTTGGGAGGCCGAGGTGGGTGGATCACGAGGTCAGGAGATCGAGACCATCCTGGCTAACATGGTGAAACCCCGTCTCTACTAAAAATACAAAAAATTAGCTGGGCGTGGTGGCAGGCACCTGTAGTCCCAGCTACTTAGGAGGCAGGAGAATGGCGTGAACCCGGGAGGCAGAGCTTGCAGTGAGTCGGGATTGCGCCACTGCACTCCAGCCTGGGCGACAGAGCAAGACTCCATCTCAAACAAACAAACAAACAAACAAACAAACAAAATATGTAATGTGCTCTGAAGTTTTGCCGACATGAAATTTCTTCCTTCACAACCTGTACCCCAGCCCTAGGCATCATTGTTCCTGTTCTGTACCACTGCATAGAACAAGCTGCCTCCTAATTTAGTGAATGAACACACTGCATTGATTTCATGGCAGGGGATGGTGATGTTGATTACTCCAGATTAGTTCTCACTTGTGACTCCTCAGATGGCAGACAAGGCTGAAGCTGTCAGAAAGCTTCTGCACCTCTATACCTGGCACCTGGAATGCTATGGATTGAAGAGCTAGGAGCTGGTCAGGTAACTTGGTCTCCACACAGCCTCTCCATGTGACAAGCTTGAGGTTCCTCACAGTATGACAGTCTTGGGCTAGTCAGAGTTTTTGTAGAGAGCTTGGCTTTCCCCAGATTCCCCTGCATTCCACGAGACCCAGGCAAAAGCTAAAAAGCTTCTTATGTCCTAATCTTGGAATCTGCAAATGCAGATTCATGGGGGCACAGAAATAGATACCACCTCTCAATGGGCGAATGACCTGATAGAAAAGAAGGGAAGAAAGGAGCGGCCACTTTGCAGGCAAGTTCATAGTCATTCTGTCTTAATAAACCTCATCCCAGGTTGCTAATTCCAAACAAATTTCCCAGACCTAAACATACAAAGAGGAAGGAGAAAGCAATTTACCATTCATAAATAGATTGAAATTAACGTTAATACTTACATCTTCATTTTATTCCATGCCCGAAGGTAGAATAATTTAATAATGTTAATTATTTTTTCCAGTCATGACTTGCTGAGCCAATTAATTTTTTTCATTTATTTTCTCATTTATTCTTTCTTCAGGGTTTGAATTGGCTTTGTTTTCTGCTTTTTCATATCTTGATTTTAGCCATATTCAATCCAATTACAGTTTTCTTTCAGTTTTTACTTTCTTTTTATTGTCAACACTTTGCTTCTTTGTATATTGAATTTCCCACCCTTAATGCAAGGATGTCTAGTCAGTAGCTGCTAGAGGTGTAACTACTGATTTATTTTTTCTTCTGTATGGAGCCAGTGTCAAGCTAGTCTAGTAGTCAGTCTCCTAAGAAACTTTATTATCTCTTTCAGCTTCACTGGCTGTATTCGCTGGGAAGCAGTTTAACGACACTGGCTGATCTTAACAGGTTGCTATAACCACTTGAAGGCACAATAAATGTGGGAGGAAAATGTTCTTTTTCTTCTCTCTTGGTGGAAAAATAGATGTATAATTTTCTAGCTTTCTTTTCTCCATTTGGGTTAATGATATGAAGAAGATTTCTGCTAGTTTAAGTGTAATTAAAAGAGAGAGATTGGTAACCTCTGGATAACGGTGGGCATTTTGAGGATTGCACTGTGTAGAGCTGATGATGAAAGAGCTTCTCTAGCTAATATGTGCTCAAACACACAGTGACAAGAACTAGAATGACAAAATCCAGGCTGTATGCTTCTGAATGGTATGGATGATGAGTGGATTTTTCACCACCTGGTATGAACATAGGATGTTAGGTGGAGACAGACAGCAGATACCTTTGGGTATCTGGGAAACTTATACCTCCTGCTGTGATGGCGATGAAGCACTCAGGCCTTTTGTGTTATAGAATTGGGATTTGTGGTAGGCAGGATTCTAAAGATGGCGCTCCCAAGGCGATATCCCATCCACCTGGCATACAAACCCTGCCTAACCCCGGGAACCATGAATATAATGTGTTTGACTCCTGTAATTAGGTCATTTGTATGGCACAATTGTCACTAAGATAGGGATATTATTTGAGTGCATTGACTTAATCAGAGGTGCACCTGACTTAATCAGAACTTTGAAGAAGTCGGAGAGGTGAGAAGCCTGAGAGAGTTGATGATGCGAGAGTTTCTCTGCTGCTGAGATGCAAGGCCGCGTGGGGAGGCCTTGAGAGGAATCTCTGGAAGCTGAGAGGGGTCTGCAGCTGGCAGCTAGGAAGATGGTGCATACTGAGTCATACAATCACAAGGAAACAAATTCTGCTGATAACCTGAGGGGTCTTGGAAGCAGCTCTTTCCCTGGCTGAGCCTCCAAGATGAGAATGTATCCAGGCAACATCTTGATTCCAACCTCACGAGACCCCAAGCAGACTCCCATGGATCGGGAGACATATGACATAATAAATGCATATCATTTTAAGCCAGTGAGTCTGTGGCAAAATTTGCAGCAACAGAAAATAAACACAGCAACCACCCCATTTATGAAAATGCACCTTAGAATTTAATTTTCATAATTTCATAGAGATTCTGCGAATGTTTTTGTATCATGAAAGTGATTCAGCTGTTCTCACTCCAGTTTGGAGACTTTAGGGGAGAATTCCTATACTGTAACTTATGTTTCGAAATATTCTGATGGGCACGTTTGAGCTCTGTAAGTTCTTCCTGCCTTATTTCCAGCTGTGTTTCACAGTGATTGCACAGACTTCGGTCCCTGCAGGATTGGCCTTACTATTGCAGAAAGAAAAACACCAGATTCAAAAACTGTCACATGACAATGATAACAAGGTGCCTTCGAGATGCAATGTGGTCAGGAGTCTCACGTATAAAAAGGATCCATTCATTGACTCTTTATAATTGGAGATTCTTCTACAAAATGCTTCAGTTTTCTCCCACTGATGAGTGGTGTCTGTTTCTCTGGAGAGTGCTTGGAGAAAGACAATGTGGAGTACTGTGGAATATTGATGGATGTTGTACGTTTATAGCTAAAGCAACCTTCCCTCATGCCACCAGCATCAGGCAGTTCATATCATAAGACCAAGCACAGAACTTATTTTTTCTTCATGTTTTCTCCCAACACCGAGGCTTTTTCTTCTGCTATGCTCCTCTGTCACCTAGCTCTGCAACTTCCCCAACTTCTTGCACCCTCTTAGTCCCTGTTCTCTCTATGACCCCGCCTCATCGCTTCTCCACAATAACTTCCTCATACAATTTTCATGAGGGTAACCTAGAAGAGTGACAGGTACCCAAAGCATATACTTTATGCTGAGCATTTGATGTCATCCAATGTCCTTTCCAAAAGGAACCATTTCTGCTAGGTTGGTATTCTCCAAAGCCCAAAAGTCCTTAGAAGTGCCCCATAGTGCCTGGGCGTGGTGGCTCATGCCTGTAATTGCAGCACTTTGGGAGGCCGAGGTGGGCAGATCACTTGAGGTCAGGAGTTCAAGACCAGCCTGGCCAACACAGTGAAACACCATCTCTGCTAAAAGTATGAAAATTGGCCGGGCGCGATGGCTCACGCCTGTAATCCCAGCACTATGGGAGGCCGAGGCAGGTGGATCACGAGGTCAGGAGATTGAGACCATCCTGGCTAACATGGTGAAACCCCGTCTCTACTAAAAATACAAAAAAAAATTAGCCGGGCATGGTGACAGGCATCTGTAGTCCCAGCTACTCGGGAGGCTGAGGCAGGAGAATGGTGTGAACCGGGGAGGCAGAGCTTGCAGAGACCCGAGATCATGCCACTGCACTCCAGCCTGGGTGACAGAGCAAGACTCCGTCTCAAAAAAACAAACAAATAAAAAAAACAACGAAAATTAGCTGGGTGTGGTGGCATATGCCTGTAATCCCAGCTACTCAGGAGGCTGAGGCACGAGAATCGCTTGAACCCAGGAGGTGGAGGTTGCAGTGAGCCGAGGTTGCACCACTGCACTCCAGCCTGGGTGACAGAGCAAAACTCAACCGCAACAAAAAAAGAAGTGCTCCATAGTGTCCGTAGTAGCGGCTGAAGTGAGTTGTGAAGACTGAGCTCTTATGGAGCAGCCTCTCAGGCCCTCAGGCCCCATGAGCCCAAATCTCTTTCTGGGAGATTCGAAGAGATGCACAGGTCACTCCACCAGGTAATGGGGCAGGTCCAATAAACTGTAACCTCATGCAACCAGCAATGCCTGAGAAGTGGGTTCTGAAAGGGCTCAGCAATCTCATGTAGCCTCTCCAGGACTCTCTCACCTTCCTTCACAGTAAGTCCTTTGTGAGTCAGGCTCATATAAGGAGAATGTGACTTTCCTTACCTCAGCTCTTCACACCTATGGACATCTTTAATTGTTACTGCAAATTGACCACAACTTTGTTGTAACTGTAGCAATTTGCAAAAGAAGTGTATGTGTGTTGGGTGATGGGTGGGTGACGGGCACCTGGTTTTGCACCAGGAAATAAAATAATTTGCAATTTCAGGTCTTTAAAGAATGTTGAGTCTATGATAGTCCGAGTGACGCACAGACGTTAGCCCAGAAAGACTGTGGCAGACCTCTGATTTACAGAGCTGTAAGATGGAGTGTTTCCTGGCCTCCTTTGCCACGCATTATTTCCTCCCTTTTCTGAACTTCCCGGCATGAGGTTTGCCTACATGCCTATGTCAGGCACTGAGTTGTGACAATCCTGAAAGTGAGGTCCCTGTCTCTCTATGCCTAGTATGCTATCTCACCAAAGTCAGTCTTTCGAAAGTATGTGAGGATTTATTGCATTCCAGTTAAAAGCAGCTGCCTCATTATATGAAATCTTTTTAATTTATTCTTTGTTTGTTTGTTTGTTTGTTTATTGAGACAGAGTCTCGCTGTGTTGCCCAGGCTGGAGTGCAGTGGCACAATCTTGGCTCACTGCAACTTCCGCCTCCCATGTTCAAGCGATTCACCTGCTTTGGTCTCCCAAGTAGCTGAGACTACAGGCGTGCCCCACTATGCCCAGCTAATTTTTTGTATTTTTAGTAGAGATGGGGTGTTACAATGTTGGCCAGGATGGTCTCAAACTCCTGACCTCAGGTGATCCGCCCACCTCAGCCTCCCAAAGTGCTGGGATCACAGGCGTGAGCCACTGAGCCGGGCCCCATTATACCAAATCTTAAAACAGATAATTCCCTGTGTATAGAGCATATTGCAGCTATGCTCAGGGGAGATGATATTCCTAGCACTAAATTACCTTTTTTGAACTATTGAGTAAATGTAGTCTCAACAGTGCAATGCTTAAAGACAAACACTATTTTTTATTTCTTGCAAAATAATATTTTATTCACAAAATATCCATTATAAGGCTGAAGAGTTCAATGATATCCATATGGTGAAATATGTAAACAAACAAATCTTTATAGTTGCTAAGAGCTTAGCGATGCATTTACATGCTCTTCCAGCCTATTGGCATTTAACCTGCATTAATCACTTTTGAATAATTAATACTATGATCTCCCATTGTTCATTCAACTCAATAAGGTGAAACTTTAAAAACCACACTGATTAAGATCTTCCAACTTGAAAACCTCTATTCTTTTCTCTATGTTAGTTTGCTAAGAATGTGAGCTACTAGTTTTTAAAGAAATATAGTTCTAGACAGAAATAGAATAGAGATTGCACACATTCATAAATTTGTCTGACTCCTAACAAGAGTACCTTGTCAAGGGTAATATGGCTTATGTGTTAGAAATATAATTTAAAATTAATAAAATACCAATTTTATCACATTATGGTAATGTTTACTGCTTTCCTGAAGTGTTTGAGATTTTCCTGTAGAATGTACTTGGAGCATGTACAGTTACACAATGAAAGTAATAAACTATTAAATCAAAAAAATATTTTAGAAACACTCAGTATATGAACCTCTTGCTCTAGCATAAACTATTTATATGTTTTACATCCGGTGTTAGGACATAGGCATTTTTCTTACAGAAATTCTCAAATAAGGACAAAACATCCCCCTAATATGTAGTAGAATGTTTACTGCAGCACTGTTTGTAATAATAATTTCTAAAAACCTGACAACTCTCTAGAATGTTATCAGTGAGGGATAGAAAAATCATTCTGAATCCTTGCTATCTAGCAGGGTGCAGCTGTGAGAAAGTAGGAGAGAAACCTAGCTACGGCGTGACACGGAGAGATCACCAAGACAGAAATGACATGAGAGAAGAAAGGAAGTCAGATAATAATGCATAAAGTAATATTCCATTGATGCTAGAATGCAGCCAGACAACACAGTGTGTTTAGAGAAATTTACTAGCTAAACTTAGACATTGTTTGAAACTTTTATAAAAATGCATTTGTGGTCTACAAATATGTACATTAGTAAAAATAAAACAGCACTTATTGTGCATGCACACTCAGTGCATCTCTCTGAAGTGAGAACTCATAATTTTCCAGATGAGGAAACTCAGGCACAATGAGGTTAAGGGATTTCACCCAGAGCCCACGTTCAGTGAGCAGGGAGCTTTGTAAGGCTCTGGAGTCTTTGTTCTTAATCATTGTTGCTGTATTATGCTTTGAGTAATGAAAACAAATCAACTCAGGAGTTTTAACCAAAAACATCTGTTAAAGAAAATGAGGAGGCCGGGCACGGTGGCTCACACCAGTAATCCCAACGCTTTGGGAGGCCGAGGCGGACAGATCACAAGGTCGGGAGACTGAGACCATCTTGGCTAACACGGTGAAACCCCGTCTGTACTAAAAATACAAAAAACAAAAAAAAAATTTAGCCAGGTGTGGTGGCACACATCTGTAGCCCCAGCTACTCGGGAGGCCAAGGCAGGAGAATCGCTTGAACCCGGGAGGTGGAGGTTGCAGTGAGCCGAGATCACGCCACTGCACTCCAGCCTGGGTGACAGAGCGAGACTTTGTCTCAGGGGGGAAAGAAAAGAGGAGATTGGATCAGGTGAGGTCTAAGATCTCTTAAGCAATTACATCTTACAGGAGTGTGAGCTTTGGGGTCAGCTGGCTTTGGGTGAGACTCCAGTTTTGATGCTGACACTTGACTGTGGGCAGTTAACTAAGTCCCACTGAGCTGGTTTCGAACCCATAAAATGTAAAGTGTAGGCACTGCTTTATGGGGTTACTGTAGTGAGAGGGGCTGGTCCTGAGGCAACCTGGGGATAGTTCCTAGCAAGTGCTCAGGAATAATATCACTTTCCCCCATGACTCCAAAATCCCAGGATCTTTAGTCTTACCTGAATATGTATGGAGTAAAACATATTCCCAAGTTATGAGATCTCTCTGGAGCTCAGTCTTTCATATCAAACTGCTAACCAGACACCTCCACTTGCATGAGCCACGGACCATTAATACTCAGTCTATTTGTTTGTTTGTTTGTTTGTTTGTTTGAGACGGAATCACCCAGGCTGGAGTGCAGTGACACAATCTTGGCTCACTGCAACCTTCGCAACTTCTGTCTCCTGGGTTCTAGCGATTCTCCTGCCTCAGCCTCAGAGTAGCTGGGATTACAGGTGAGGTGCCTCCGTGCCCGGCTAATTTTTGTATTTTTAGTAGAGACGGGGTTTCACCATATTGGCCAGGCTGGTCTCGAACTCCTAACGTCAGGTGATCCACCCCCACGCCCCCTCGGCCTCCCAAAGTGCCCGGATTACAGGCGTGCAATACTCAGTCTGTTTGAAACCAGTATTACCTCCTTTGTTCTCGTCCAAAGCTGTCTTATTCTCTAGCGTCCCCTATCTTGACAGCAACATCCTATCAGTTGCTAAAACACATATTCCAGACTGTTGACGCTCAGTGGCACTCTAAGCCCTGTGGATGCCACATTCTTAATACATTTTGAATGTGCCCACTCTTCTCTGTCTGGATGACTGGCATCTTGCTTAGGGTGCCATCATCCTTGGCATAAGTTTCTGCATCCTATGTACGCCACCTGCCTCAAGTCCTAATCCCTTCATGTTGGAATTACACTGCAGTCAGGGGTATCCTTCCAAAATGTACACCAGATTCTCTGAAAAATAATCTGTCTTGCTCTTAAATGTGCCCCTCAGATACTGTAAGAGCTCCTCCTTGCCTTTGGATTAAATCCCAAATTCTTTATGCCCGAGTTGATCTTCAATGTCATCTCATATTCCATGCCCCTTCCAGACTCGGAAGCAGTTCATGGAGCAGAATATTCAACTATTCAGAAACACTGAATCAATTTTCGCTCTGAACAAGAATGATTTTTCTAGCTTCATGGGCTCTGCCCACACCACCTCAGACACCTGCCACATTCCCTTTACACCCACCTATCATTTCCTTACTACCTGATTCTTTTCATTCTCCAGATCTCAGTAAAGAAGTCGCTTGCTTTCTGCTAATTTTCCTAACATCTCCACATCTCCATCTCATGTTCAAGACAAAGGAGGTTCTCATGTCTTCCCATAATGAACTATCTCGTACTGTCCCCATCATGGCAGAGCATGCTGTATTACAAGTTCGATGTGCAGGAAATAGGGCCCAAGTGGTGTTTGCCATTAATCAATGTGGCATATGCAGTGCAGTACTGGGGCAGACTCCTATAAATGACCTTTTAAAAGATGCTAACATGACCTTTCAAAAGATGCAAATCTGACTTTATCACTTTCCTGCAAGACCTTTGAGCAGCTTTGAACCTCTTTGTCTTTGTTTCCTCCAAAGACACCATCCAGCTCCCTGTGCAGCCTCAGGCCTCAGTGACTTAGCCCCCGCCTTTTTTTTTTTTTTTTTTTTTTTTTTTTTTTTTTGGGAGATGGAGTCTCGCTCTGTCACCCAGGCTGGAGTGCAGTGGTGCCATCTCGGCTCACTGCAAGCTCCGCCTTCCGGGTTCACGCCATTCTCCTGCCTCAGTCTCCCGAGTAGCTGGGACTACAGGCGCCCACCACTACGCCCGGCTAATTTTTTTGTATTTTTAGTAGAGACGGGGTTTCACCACGTTAGCCAGGATGGTCTCGATCTGATGACCTTGTGATCCACCCGCCTCGGCCTCCCAAAGTGCTAGGATTACAGGCGTGAGCCACCGCGCCCGGCCCAGCCCCCGCCTTTCTGACTTCCACTCTCATCCTCCATCCGTCTCTGGTATAAAGTTCTTTCCTGACACAAGGTCTTTGCTTATGTGGTCTCCCCTCCCCCTCTCTGGATTTCTTTCCTGGCTACAAATCATCATTTAGGTCTCAGCTTAAATGCCACTTCCTGAAAAATGACTTTGCTGAGAGCCTCAATTGGGTCTCTCAGTTCTAAAAACCCTGCACGTTCCCATGTCTGTGTGTCCCCCGATGTGCTCTTCCCAATTAGACAGCAGGGTCCCCGAGTGCTGAATTTTCTTCACTGCTACCACGCCAACACCTAACAAAGAACTTGCCCCAAAATCTATTTGTCAAATGGAAGAATAAATCATTAAGGAAAATATCTGATCAGTGATTTGATGATAAAAAATACAGTATATAATGAATACCTAGAAGTTTATTATAGTTAAATGGGCCGTCTCTGAGATGGAATAACTTCACTACGATTTATGTGTTTTAGAAAAATAATGACATATAATTCACAGATTTAATGACAGTGTCACATCTATACTTCCATTTTATGTGGCATATTGTAGAAAGAGCGAGTTTTATTATCCAGATTACCTAATAAGGAAACAGTGTTTAAATGCTGATATGGTTTGGCTGCGTCCCCAGTGATTCAAAGACCAAAAGGGTTTAAATAAAAAGAAGACCAAAGGAAATAAATAGAAAAGAGGAGGGAATTTATGAGAAACCATTTTAAATGGTCCATTTTCAAGGCATGATAAATCAAAAGTACTGGAAGCCAGCCTGCAAATTTAACAAACCGCACTGCTCATGCACCTAGAAGGTCACAGTAAGCAAACAATGAAAAGGAGGGGTCAGCCCATAAAAGGGAAAAAAGTTTCATTATTGGGAAATTGAAACAAGCAAGAAAGAGGACCGAGATATAACCTTATAAGGGGGATAATGAAACGTAGGTGACATCCAGGAAAATTGTAACCCCATAGCACTCAACCAATGAGGAACTTGGGGAGGGACTTGCGTACTAGAAGATAAATTACTTGTTGTGACTGCCCCAGATGTACCTACCTACCAGACACCCAATCTTGCAAGACCATTATTAAGTCTCACTTTCGCTTTTCTTCATGCCTCTAAGTCCATTCTTTGGGTTTGGATGGATGAGTAGATTTCTCACACCCACTCAAATCTCATCTTGAATTTCTACGTGTCGTGGGAGGGACCTGGTGTGAGGTAATTGAATCATGCAGGCAGGTATTTCCCATGCTATCTGTGTGATAGGAACGGTGTCTCTTGCACACAGATGGTACTAACTTCAACTATGTCAAACAAAAAGTTGTTTGTTACTTAACAGTCATCTCATTTGCTACTATACCTTCAAGAATAAGCCACTGATTCAATTTATCTAAAATTATGATGTTAAAATAATTTTTGAAGTTTGTTTTTACATATATCTGATTATCTACCTACCTCTATTTTATTTTACCAAGTTAATTGCTTTTTTTTTTTTTTTTTTTTTTGAGACGGAGTCTCGCTCTGTCGCCCAGGCTGGAGTGCAGTGGCGGGATCTCGGCTCACTGCAAGCTCCGCCTCCCGGGTTCACGCCATTCTCCTGCCTCAGCCTCCCAAGTAGCTGGGACTACAGGCGCCCGCCACTACGCCCGGCTAATTTTTTTTTGTATTTTTAGTAGAGACGGGGTTTCACCGTTTTAGCCGGGATGGTCTCGATCTCCTGACCTCGTGATCCGCCCGCCTCGGCCTCCCAAAGTGCTGGGATTACAGGCGTGAGCCACCGCGCCCGGCCAAGTTAATTGCTTTTAACTTCAATGTTCTTAAAATCACTCTGCCTCCTTTGCATTATGGTATAAAAATAGAACAATCTTTTTCCTATTGATTTCTAAATGCTTGAAGTCTCCTCTCCTTCTCTTTAAAACCCAATCTGATAGTGTGGATTTAACATGCCTACCTTCAACATTTTGTTATTTGTATTAAGTTATTTCACTTTATTATTTTTTAAATTATATGCCTTATAAGTCAGGTTTGGACTTTTACTCCTGGTTGGGAATTCTTAAATAAAATAAAGAGTGATTAGTTGTCAAAGTTTACTTCAAGCATAGCTAAGAAAATTTGGCCCATAGTTCTTTCCTCTTGTTGCTATAAGATCTGTGTTTTGGCCGGGCGCGGTGGCTCACGCCTGTAATCCCAGCACTTTGGGAGGCCAAGGCAGGCGGATCACGAGGTCAGGAGATCGAGACCATCCTGGCTAACACAGTGTAACCCCATCTCTACAAAAAAAAAAAAAATTAGCCGGGCGAGGTGGCGGGCGCCTGTAGTCCTAGCTACTCGGGCGGCTGAGGCAGGAGAATGGCGTGAACCCCGGGGGGCGGAGCCTGCAGTGAGCAGCGATCGGGCCACTGCACTCCAGCCTGGGCAACAGCGAGACTCCGTCTCAAAAAAAAAAAAAAAAAAAAAAAGATCTGTGTTTTATCTATCAAGAAGTGTTTCTCATTTTCAATCTACGAGTCATGATTAAGGAATTAATAGAAGAACACCCAATGTCCTTGTTCAACAGGAATTATCAGGGTTAAGTCAAATTCTTATAACTCAGCGGTTAATTACTCAATTTTTGCATTTTGTTATATAAATTTTTACCCGGTCTACTTTGCAAGTAGTTTCAAATAACTACTTGCAAAGTAGTCACTAGCTGTTATCAATCTATTCATGATTTGCCATGGTAATTTCTTCCTATCACTCATCTCTTCTGCATTGCTGAGTAAAGGAAACAGTGATCAACTTAAAGCATGTGGAAAACAAAATAAATAGAGACTGAGAGAAAAACAGCAAATTTTACTTGTGTATTTAGTATTTTCTTCCTTTCTGTGGCTTGATTTTATTTGATGTTTGGAACACAATCTATTTCTAAAATTTGTGGGGACAGTTCCATCTTTTGGTTTCTGTGTTTGCATTTCCACCTCACTTCCTTAAATTAATTTTCTTCCATAATATTTCATGTTAACATATATCTAGGTTTTGTGATCACACACAAACACACACAAAGACACACACAGCTCTTCTTGAAGTTTGTACACCATTTACACCATTTCTCTGGACTGTTGAGTCTATTATGATTGTTTACATTGAGGGATGAATTTTTGAAGACATATGAATTGAAACAAAGGTCAGTGGACCAATTCAGTGTCTTGCAAAGTTGTTTATTATAATGAGATTATTATCAGGGCTTTAAGCCTTTTAGGCCATGAGGAACAATTAATGGCACTCCAAATTTACATTGAGTAAATTAATATTTGTAATACTTTATATATCTTTTGCCCCCCAAAATAAAATAATATAGTATTAAATCAACTCAAGAGAAAATTTTAGGAAACAACATGTTTATAGTAGACAGAATTATAAGATACCTCCTCCCACTGCCCATGGGCAAGATTTTTTACCCTGTTGTATACACACCTACTCCCAGTTTTTCAAACACTGATATAGATACTGCTGTGAAGAGATTTTGCCGATGTAATTAAGGTCCTGATTCACTGATAAGGAGATTATCTGGATGGACCCTAACATGGGGAGATTTTTCTAATCATATGAGTCCTTACAAAGCAGAAAATTTTCTCCAGCTGATGTCAAAAGAGGAAGTCAGAGATTCAAAACACAAGAAGAATTTGACATGCTATTGCAGTTTTGAAGTAATACAGTATCCTCTAGGATGTGACAGTGGCCTCAGTGGACAGCCAGTGAGCAAACAGGATCCCAGTTCTACAACCACAAGGAATTGGATTCTCTCAATTGTGCTGATAAGCTGGAAGCAGATTCTTCCTTGCTCAGTCCTCCAGATGAAAACAGCCCACAGCAGTTTGATTTCAGCTTTGTGAGATGATGAGCAGAGAACCCAAGCAAGCCACACCAGATTTCTTTTTTTTTTCTTTCTTTCTTTTTTTTTTTTTTTTTTTTTTGAGACAGAGTTTCACTCTTGTTGCCCAGGCTGGAGTGCAATGGCACGATCTCAGCTCACTGCAACCTCTGCCTCCTGGGTTCAAGCAATTCTCCTACCTTAGCCTCCCAAGTACCTGGGATTACAGGCACCCGCCACCACGCCCAGCTGATTTTTGTATTTTTAGTAGAGATAGGGTTTCACCACTTTGGCCAGGCTGGTCTTGAACTCCTGACCTCAGGAGATCCACCTGCCTCGGCCTCCCAAAGTGCTAGGATTACAGGTGTGAGCCACTGCAACTGGCCTCACCACACCAGATTTCTATCCTACAAAACTATGAATTTATAAATGGCTTAGTTGGAACCTGCTAAATTTGTAGTAATTGGCAGTACAGCAACAGAAAACAAAGACAGATTTTATAATTGAGACTAGGAGTGGCTTCATAATTAGGCAGTGGAAGGAAGACAGAAGAAAATGAGGAATATGACTCAGAAACCCTAAGTTACCTCAGACAACACCTAAATTGTTGTGCCCAGGCAACTAAAACTGTGAGATAATAGATTCGTATTATTTTAAGCAGCTGAATTTATGGTAATTCATTATGCAGCAACAGAAAATGAAGACAGCGCCTATAATATGTGAGACTAATACTTCATTGTAACATGAAGCATTTCATGCTACAAAGTACTCAGATGCTGGACAAATTATGACATATAAATCTTAAAAGATATTGATGAGCTTCCAATCCAGTAATTATAAGCTCCACCCACCTACTCACTCTAGGGACTTGATATGGTTTGGCTGTGTCCCCACCGAAATCTCATCTTGAATTCCCATATTTTGTGGGAGAGACCTGGTGGGAGGTAATTGAATCATGGGGGCAAATCTTTCCCATGCTGTTATCGTGATAGTGAATAAGTCTTACACGATCTGATGGTTTTAAAAAGAGGAGTTCCTCATGGACACACGGAGGGGAACATCACACACCCAGGGCCTGTCATGGTTGGGGGAAAGGGGAGCGAGAGCATTAGAATAAATACCTAATGCATGCAGGGCTTAAAAACCTAGATGACAGGTTGATAGGTGAAGCAAAACATCATGAGACATGTATACCTATGTAACGAAACTGCATGTTCTGCACATGTATCCCAGAACTTAAAATAAAAATAAATAAATAAATAAATACATACACATATATGCACAACAAAAATAAAAATAAAGCACAAGCTCTCTCTCTTTTTGCCTGCTGCCATCCATGTAAGACGTGACTTGCTCCTCCTTGCCTTCTGCCAGGGTTGCAAGGCTTCCCCAGCCACATGAAACTGTTAAGCCCAATAAACCTTTCTTTTGTAAATTGCCCAGTCTTGGGTATGCCTTTATCAGCAGCGTGAAAACAGACTAATACAGTAAATTGGTACCAGTAGAGTGGGGTGCTGCTGAAAAGACATCCGAAAATGCGGAAGCAATTTTGGAACTGGGTAAAAGGCAGAGGTTGGAACAGTTTAGAGGGCTCAGAAGAAGACAGGAAAATATGGGAAAGTTTGAAACTTCCCAGAGACTTGTTGAATGGCTTTGACAAAAAAGCTGATAGTGATATGAACAATAAGGGCCAGGCTGAGGTGGTCTCAGATGGAGATGAGCAACTTGTTGGGAACTGGAGCAAAAGTGACTCTTGTTATGTTTTAGCAAAGAGACTGGCAGCATTTTGCCCCTGCCCTAGAGATCTGTGGAACTTTGAACTTCAGAGAGATGATTTAGATTATCTGACAGAAGAAATTTCTTTCTTTTTTTTTTCTGTTAAAAGAAGTGTTTTGTCTCGTTTTAATATCTTATCAGCTTTACAGGGTTACAATCGTCTTAAATATTTCTGAAGTTAAAATACAATCTGCATAATAATGCTATTATAAAATGTAAACTTTCAGCGTTCTTTTAAATTTCAAAATCACACCTTTTTTCTGGTCTTTTTGTCTTTTTTTATTTTTTTTCCTTTCAATACCTGGATGTTCTGCAAAAACTGAAATTGTTACAGGCCACCCTGCTGCAGCCAGGGCAAGAAAGGCTGGGCCCAGCCAGAGGTAGAGAGTAGTTTTATGATTCTTTTATTTTTAATTTTTTTAAAGTCTATTTTTTTTTCTTCCATTACCTAAGTTTCAGGCGTGGTCCCCACATCCTCTGACAAACCCCAGAGAAACTGAAATTTCACACGTCACGAATGAAAGGCTGAGTTTACGTTTGCCAAGAAAAAAAAATGCAAAAGCACAATTAGGGGAAAAGAGGGACAAAGTGGGTAAAAAAAAAAAAAAAAGATAAAGGAAATTCAGACTGTACAGATGCGTGACCCTTAACGACCCCGGCTCTCCCCAGTGCCCCATGCCCACCCTCCCGCCTGTCCTGACGGCCACTTAAGGGTCCCACTGAAGATTCCAGAAGCTGCCTGTCCCCCAACATCTCAGAGCAGGGAGAGCCCCCGCTCGGCCTCGAGTGTGGGGTCCCCGCCCAGTACACAGCTAACCCCACGGCCCCAAGAGAACTCGAACCCGTCCAGGGTCCTCGTGGCTGAGGGAGGTGCCCGACCCCATCCCAGTCTGCATAAGAGGGGATGCTGAGCTGCACCCCAGAAAGCCACCCCAACTTTAAACCCCCACCGACAGGCAGTGGCGGGAGATGGGTACGGCTGGGGTTGAACGGGGCCACCTGAGGCAGGGAGTACCCTCTGGAGACCAAGGCTTCCTGCCCAGTATCCAGGACCGGGCCCCACAGACCCCCTGCGACCCCCTCCCATTTCCACGACCACTGCCTTCAGTGATTTCCTTCTCCTGGAGTCGCCAGGCCGCCCAGGACCCAGCCCCGTGCCCACCCACCGCCCGCCCCACCTGTCCCTACAATCATCGAAGTTAACAGCAGGCCCAAGTTCCCTGAGTTAGAATCCAGTCCCACCCACAGCCAGGGGGCCGGATCGCCCACACAGGCACGACACGCAGGATTCCCGACACACACACGTGCACACGGGAGCGCAACACACGCAGCCCGAGAGAGACCACCCAGCCCACGGCCCTGCGCAGCCCCTCCCCAGACACCGAGGCGGGCGGGTGCAAAGGGGCCCATGGCCCCCTCCAGGGCCGCCAGATGCAGCAGGCAACCAGGCCCCAGTGGCTGCTGCAGACCCTGGTGCACGGGAGGCGGGGGAGAGGCACCCCAGGGGCTCAGATTTTGGCATCAAAAGTCAGACCTGAGGTAGACAGAGATAAGCAGCAGGCGCTTCCCCCAGCGCGGGACCCAGGCGCGGGACAGCGGCTCCGGGGAGAGGAGCCCTGGAGGCCGGAGGGCAGACACGGACGGGGTCCAGGCGGTTCTGCGAGTGGGGCCCGATTGCGTCTTGGGGCGAAAAGACACCCCCTTCCCGGGGTGATTGTGCTGCTACGGTGCCGGCCCCGGGAAGGGGCAGGGAGAACCTAGCTGCCCACCACCCCCTCCTGGAAAGGGGGTGTGTGTCAATGGCCCTGAGATCAGAAGAAAGTGGGGTCCCGTCCCCAAAGACAAAGGAAAGTGAAAGTCCCCTCCCACAGCCCGACGGGAGAGTGAACCTAGACTCAGGGGCTCAGAAGCCCCCCAGCCCCCTCCCCCAGGGGTCTCCAAGGCTATGCGGAGGTTGGGCGGTTGGGAGTCGGGGGAGTTGGGGAGTCCCCTTCCTCACCGACCCCCAATGCCGGTGGCCTAACAGGGCTCCCAGGGCCCAATTAGAGACCCAGGCTTACCATGGGAATAGCTGAGTTAATCCCCACCCCACCACAAGAGAAATGAAAGCCCGGAGCTCCCGTGTAGGACGCGACAGCCCAGCCGGTCACCAGGCGGGTCCAACAAGGTCCCCAGACCCTGCCGAGCATTTCAGACTCCTGCCTTTCTGCTCCAGCAGCTCCAGCCAAAATAACCCCCAGCTCGGCTGCTGTAAACCCACTTTCTCCTAGGCTGGCAGAGGGGCACTGACCCACAGGGTTGGGGGGCAGCCTCCCTTCTCGGCCTCGATTTAGTCACCGCACAACTCAGGGAGCTCGCAGCCCCGGCACAAAAGCGGTCGGGAGAAGAGGAAGAGATAGAAGGAGGAGAATGTTGGGGTGTGGGGTGTGTTCAGTAAGCCAGGGCCCCGAAATCCTCACCCTGAGCTAGGTCTGGCTTCACCCCCACTCCCCAGTATTGTTAGTCCCCAAAAGCAGCCCTTTTGGACAAGAGAAGAATCCCAATGAGAAGGCCACATTCATCCCTGAGACAGGAGCCTGGGGGCTGTGACAAGAACCACCCCCGCCCCCCAGGCCCCAGGCCCTTTTTCCAGCAGTTGCTACGTTTTAGATAAGATTTCCAGGCCGGGCCGGGCGCAGTGGCTCATGACTAATCCCAGCACTTCGGGAGGCTGAGGAGGGCGGATCACCTGAGGTCAGGAGTTCGGGACCAGCCTGGCCAACATGACGAAACCCCATCTCTACTAAAAATACAAAAATTAGCTAGGCGTGGTGGCGGGTGCCTGTAATTCCAGCTACTCCGGAGGCTGAGGCAGGAGAGTCGCTTGAACCCAGGAGGTGGAGGTTGCAGTGAGCCAAGATCGGGCCACGGTACTCCAGCCTGGGTGACAAGAGGGAGACTCCATCTCAAAACAAACAAACAAACAAACAAAACAAAACAAAACAAAAACAGAAAAAAGAAGAGCTAATGAGGAAATTAAAAGAATTGTAAGAATCTATTTAGCTTAGTTATTCAAATTAGTTTGATAATCTTAATAAAGTATATAATTTTCCAAGAAAATATAATTTAACAAAATGAATCCTATAAAAATTAGAAAAGTCTAAATTGACTGACTTCCATGCAAAAGACAAAGAAAAATGTCAGTCCTTCAGAATATTAGGTGGCCACTACTTTCTAAGAGAATTGTATCGCTCCTTTAAAGAGAAGTAAATTCCAGTGCAGTCTATACTATTCCGAAGAATTGAAAACTGATAAAAGCTTTCTAATTCATTTTATGAAATAAGTACAACATTAAAGCTAAATTACTTTTAAAAGATTAAATACAAAAAATAAAATTACAGTTACAATCTCAGTTAACCATGCAAAAAATTCTAATGAAATAGAAACAGCCGATTAGCAGAATCTGCTTCATGATCGCTGCTTTTAGTCTAGAAATGGTTGGATAGTCTTATGTTAAAATATATGAAATAAGTTTCCATTTTTATTTGCAGTCGATCAAAATCTCAATGGAGAAAAAGTCAAGGCCTTGTCTAAAGGACAAAAGAAATTTTATGATATTGTTCTGTGTCTCAACTACCTGTTTACTCTTTATACAGTAAGGGCAGAAAGGGGTGATACCTTTCCAAAGTTCCCCATCAGAAAGGTCACAACCAGTACTCCTATAACAAAAGGCAGTTTAAAGAAAAGTATAGCAAATCAATTTAATCAAAGTTTTACATGTCAGAAGAGCCTTCAAAAATGAAGAACCAAAGACCCAGGGAAATCATCTATTTTTATAGGTAGGCTTCATGAAGAAGGGACAGCGATGTGGAAATGTGATTGGACAAAAAGGAATGATCCCATGGTAATAGGCTGAGAAAGAACCCAGCAAGACCTGTCTTCCTGGCCTCTAAGCTGCATTTATTTCTCCTGGTGTGGGACACACAGTCTTCAAGGGAGAAGGAAAAGAATGACTTTTCTAGGTTTTATGACTTGCTTTGGGGAAGAGGGGCTCTAGATTCTGTGACTTGCCTTGGGGAAAAGGAATTCTGGTTTCAGCTTCAGAGTAATGAGAGGGGAGGGAGACAGGAGGGCAGGAGAAGGTCAGCGACCTTGCCCTTGATTCTGAAGCCTCCAGTCTCCTTTAGTTCAAAGTATTCAGCAGGCCAAGGTGCCATCTGTTGGAGTATTGTGTTCTGAACCCCAACAACATCACTTCGGAAGACTGAAATGGCAGATGTTATATGCCATGGAGGATAAATATTGCTATTACAATCTAACAGTAATACTAGCCAAGATGAAAAAGAGAAAAGAACATACCAAAATAACCTAGACTATATCTCAAAGCAAACTTTTTATAATTAGCTAAATTGTAAAAATAGTTCTCATATAAAATAAAACCTTACTATTCTTATTTAAGATACTCGTAACACAAAGATAACTGTACTGTCATAAATGTGACAATATTGAAGGCCCTGCTCCAATTGTTCTTATGTTATTATGATTAATAATCACTTTTAAAAATCACTTATATTTGACATAGAGATTTTTTTCTATTGTGCCTAATTGTTCTGTAGTGTATGAGGAGAAACTGTCCAATCAACAGATTATTTAGATGTAATTTGATGCTTACTCATTGTGTACTCGGTAAATGAATTTTTAGAAGTACATTAACAAGATGTGAGAAAACACATTAAATTTTCAAAAGAAAACTACACAAAATAGACAAGCTTTTTAAAATCATGGAAGTAAATATTTTACATTATATATAATGTGAATGAAATTCATACCCGTAGATTCAAATGTTTGTGACTTTTAAAATCAAATTAAACAAATTGAGAAAATATGTAATGCCATTATATTGACTTAGAACATGTCAGTTGAAAAATAGCTTCCTATTTTATTTGGTTTCTCTGGCATCTATATAAATGTATGTTTAAAGGACAATTACCTTTCCTTTTCCCTTTTTATTTCTGAAGTATGAAAGACAATGTGAGATTTTTCTGGGTAATATGAGCTTCTTTGTACATCTTTTTCAGGATGCCACTGATGTTGACAGCTATTCTTTTAAAATACTGATATTCAACATGACAATGCATGTGACCTGCCAAGGAATTGAGAAGCTGAAAGTACAGTGACATGGTTATGACAGGGCTGCAAAAGACATGACTTGTAATGTCATTTCAAAGCTTTCTCTAAAAATAAGTTGAAAAACACAAAATGAATTTGCATTTTATTCAGCCAAAATGAGTATCTCTTTACTTCAGATACCTAGTTTGTATTGGAAGTGGTTTTTGAAGATTCTAAAATGTGTGTGTGTGTGTGTGTGTGTGTGTGTGTGTGTGTGAGAGAGAGAGAGAGAGAGAGAGAGAGACAGAGAGAGAGAGAGACTGTGACTCTGCTCAGGGGTTACAAATCATTTACCTTGAGTAGCATATTTTCTTTAGTCTTTGCAACTAGCTGAAGGATATCATAACTTTCCAATATTATCATTTCATAAAAGTTGTCTTTAAATAAACAAAAAGATGGAGTAGACGTTGACCAAATGTTTTGATTATCATATGTTTTTTAAAAAGGAAACAAAATGGACATTTATTTGTTTTCATAATGATACGTGTAAGATAGGAGCAGTAAAGAGTAGGGTATAAGACAAACTTCTAGTTGGTGTATTTTAGAAAAATGTTAGCTAACAATGGGATTTAACATATTAACCTCTGATACTGAAAGGGAATTCCATTTCTGGTGGTATGTTTTTCCTTAAGTGAATAGGCCAGAGATAACCTCATACTAAAGAAGTATGTGTATGTATAAAGCTTCATATATTTTAAACACCTTATTCAGCATCATTTTTATACTTGGATAGTTTTCACTGTTTTTCTAGGATCTACTGAAGTGTTTAGTTTTGATGAAAGAAAGTCTATGGGTTTGATCAGAAGCCCATGAGTCCAATCAAAGGTATTATTTATTTGAAATTTAAAAACCATGCAAGCGGCCGGGCGCGGTGGCTCACGCCTGTAATCCCAGCACTTTGGGAGACCGAGGCGGGCGGATCACGAGGTCAGGAGATCGAGACCATCCCGGCTAAAACGGTGAAACCCCGTCTCTACTAAAAATACAAAAAATTAGCCGGGCGTAGTGGCGGGCGCCTGTAGTCCCAGCTACTTGGGAGGCTGAGGCAGGAGAATGGCGTGAACCCGGGAGGCGGAGCTTGCAGTGAGCCGAGATCCCGCCACTGCACTCCAGCCTGGGCGACAGAGCGAGACTCCGTCTCAAAAAAAAAAAAAAAAAAAAAACCATGCAAGCAATTTCAAGCATGTAAATTAACTAGGATTTTAGGACAACCTGTGAGTGGAGAAGCACAGGAAAACTAGGTTATCAGAAATTCATAGGAGATCCTCCTGAGGCAGAAGTAAAATTATAGTTGAGGAGAAATATAAGTCATCATCCCAGATTAATTTGCTTGCAATTTGAAATTATGGAAAGAGGAAAAGTCCATGTGCAAGGATCTTCTTTTCCATGCAATCTAATTTTTAAAAATTGGGATAAAAACAGCATGAGAGCTACCCTCTTAAATTTTTAGGAATACAACACAGTGTTCTTAACTACAGGCACAATGTTGTACATAGCAGATCTCTAGGACTTATTCATCTTGCATACCTGAAGCTTTATACCTGTTAAACAGTAACTCCCTATTTTCCACTTCTCCCAGCCCCTGGTAACCCACTGCACTTTGTGCTTCTGTGAATGGGGTTATTTTATATTGGACATATAATAGCGGACTCACACTGTATTTTCCTTTTGGCTTATTTCGCTTAGCATAACGTCATCAAGGTTCATCCATGTTGCCACATATGGAAGGATTTCATTTCAGACAATAATATTTTGTTGTAAGTAGATGCCACATTTTCCTTATCTATTCATATGTCGGTGGGTCTTTATGCGGCTTCTACATCCTGGCTATCGTGAGTACTGCTGCAATGAACATGAGAGTTCGAATATGTCTTCAAGATCTTAATTTTTTGAATAAATACCAAGTGTGGGATTGCTGGATCATACGATAGTTCTATTTTTAATGTTTTTGAGGAGCCTCCATACTGTTTTCTATAGTGGCTGCACCATTTTACACTCCCAATAGAGTACAAGGATTCCAACTTCTCCACATCTTTGCTAACACTTGTTATCTTTTTGTTGTTGTTTTGACAACCAGTGGGGAGTGATATCTCATTATGGTTTTGATTGGCATTTCTCTGATTAGTGACATTGAGCATTTTTCATATGTGTGTTGGCTACTCGGATATTCTTTTAGAGAAATGTCAATCCAAGTACTGTACACCTTTTAAAAATCTGGGTATTTGTTTCTGGCTATTCAGTTGTAGGGTTTCCTTATATATGTTGGATATTAACACCTTATTAGATAAATAGTTTGCAAATATTTTCTCCTATTTTATAGGTTGCCTTTTCAATCTATTAATTGTTTCCTTTGCTGTCATAAAGCTTGAACCCTTTCTGGGTTTACCCTACAGATATCTTGTCATTATGAATCTTCTTAAATGATTTCATTTTTATATGTACAATAAAAATCAATGAGAATTGTTAAAAACAAAAACCTCAGAGAGATAGGATTTTACTCCACAGAGAACAAAGTGGAGCTCATATCAACCTGGGATTAATAAAAAGAAAACTCTTTTCACTCAGATAAAACTCTCAGGCAAGGCATTTGGAAATATTTTTGATGCATTCATAGTCTTTGAACAATTTAAGAGTATATTTATATCACATGTTCTTACCTACAAGTGGAAGCTAAACATTAGGTACACATGTACACAAAAATGAGAACAATAGATTCTGGAGAATCTGAAGGACAGAAAAGAGGGAAGGGGCAAAGGGTGAAAAACTACCTATCGGGTACTATGTTCACTATTTGGGTGATGGATTCAGTTGAAACCCAAACCTCAGCATCATGCAATATATCCTTGTAGCAAACCTGCACATGTACCCCCGCTCCAAATCTACAATAAAAAATAGAAATCTTTGGCAAAAAAAGAGTGTATCTACAGCTCTTAAGGGCTATGTTTATATATCTCTATTGTCTTTTGCTTTATATTTTGTTTATATTTTAACAATTTGTGAAATAAGTACATCTTTTAATGCTCTTTATATAGTTCTAATGTAACAACATAGCTACACACCGTTCTCATAAAAACAAGGACAGGACATTTAGAGGTAGCAATAATGAGCAAAGGTAACATTTCAATGGAAACTGAGCTAAATGAGTAAAAACAATACAAATGATATGTAAAGGATTACAAGGTTGATAGGATATTGTGTTCAAGCCCTAGATAAATCCAACCAACTAATCTTTGAGAGAGAAGTATGTAGTACGGAAGCATGTAACTGTAATTATTTTGAGAAATGCTAAACCTCAAAATAAAAAGATTTTTGCACTTGTCATAATTGAAAGTTTGTTTTTCCTCTCTTTTTGGTAACATTCTATCACCCTCGCCTGCAACCAAAATGACCCTCACCCTGGCAGCCAGCACTGGGATTCCATCCTCATCGAGCTCCTTGACACGCAGGTCGGCTTCACCGTGGGCAAGCACAATCATCATTTGCAGACAAAAGGAGAACCCAGTTATTTGATCTTGATTATAAGATGTGACAATTATCTCTCAAATATTACAGATTTTATGTCATAAATTGCTCTGGGGCACTGCAACCTAGCAAGTCCTCCTGAGAGGCCCATCTAGCCTGCTGCCCAGGCCACAACCAACCTTGCCACTAGCCTTTTCATCAATACAAAGGACAACTATTTGTAATTGTCCTCCAATTGAAAGAACATGCCTAAAGTTGTCAATTGTGTTTATATATTTTAGGTAGGTAAGTAAAGAAAAGTTCTTGTTGTTGGTGAATCACAGACAATTGTTCAATTTAGAGGAGAAGGCAGCCTGGGTAGTGGAGAGGAGGACATTGTTTTCATTGTTGTGTACCCAGGGCCCAGCATAGAGACGGGAAAATAGTTGGCATCAGATAAACTACTATTGAATTCAATTATCATGAGATTCCTTTGCTAATGCTGAGAAGTACAGAAGGTAGAGAAGATAGAATTTTATGCTTAGGGAAATAAAAGACTCAGAAGGGTTTGCCTTATTGAAACCCACTTAGATTTGAAAGTCCTTTAAGATAAATATCATTGAATTTGACCTAGGTGAGCGTTTATATTAATTCTAGGCTTACAGGTCTAGAAGAAGCCTTTGTAAAGACTTTGACATGTCCGAGTAAGATTGAAAGTGCCACTCTGAAACCTACTCCATAGCCTCACTTACTTTACTTACTAGAAAACATGTTGCCCTCTTGTTCCACTCTTCAAAGTCAAAGACCTTGTGACTTTTCTGAGCCCTGAGGATGAGGATGAGGTTTCCATCACTTTTCAACTTTGAATATAGAACAGAGCAGGATATTTGCTGTCCAGTGAACATCAACATATTTCAGCAAGCCTCATCTTTGTTCTCATTGATGGAAAGCTTAAATTAAATCTTTCTCAGCCAGAACATTCAACAAGGGATATAATAAATGAATTATGTAAAGAAATACGTAGATGTTTTAAACAAAACTTCTCTATGGTCTCCCACAAACCTCACACATAAATAGAAAGTTAATCATTTGGTAATAAATGAACACTTTAGGTAATGAGAGATACTCAGGATCCCTGAAGAAATTAAATTCTTATTTTCTCTTTTTTTTTTTTTTTTTTTTTTGAGATGGAGTCTCACTCTGTTGCCCAGGCTGGAGTGCAGTGGCGCGATCTTGGCTCACTGCAAGCTCTGCCTCCTGGGTTCACGCCATTCTTCTGCCTCAGCCTCCCGAGTAGCTGGGACTACAGGCACCCGCCACCACGCCTGGCTAATTTTTTTGTATTTTTAGTAGAGACAGGGTTTCACCACGTTAGCCAGGATGGTCTCAATCTCCTGACTTCGTGATCTGCTCACCTCGGCCTCCCAAAGTGCTGGGATTACAGGCATGAGCCACCGTGCCTGGTCAGATTCTTATTTTCTCTTAAAAAGACAGCATGTCCTGGGCACATATGGAATGCCATGTCCAAGCACACACCAAGCTCCATCCCCATTAGGAGTCACAATTAGCACATTGCTGTTGACAAGATCAAACACAGACCTTTCCCCTTTGGCCTAAGTCTGCTGACAAGGCAAAACACAGATCCTCCAACCACCCATTCTTTGTCTCATTATTAATCAGCTAAGATTAGAACTGTTTGTCCCTCCGAACTAACAAAATCCTAAGATAAACATTTCCTGTTGAGTTGACTAAGACCCCCCCGATTGCAGAATAATTTTGATAGTAAATTATACCACCAGTTAAACAGTCACAACCTGCTGAGATCTGGCCATGTTCTCTCTATTACAAATAGTCCTAATGAAATCATATGCTCCACAGTCCAGTGCATTTTGTCTTTGAGAGTTGCCAGCCTCTTTTACTGGAGTTGCAGCTCACGATGTAGAGGAAGCTACTCTGGGGACTTTGGTCATTTTGCACTTTGTAGGAATTGTGCTCAGTAAGTAATTGATTCACTTATCATGAGAGATAATAGGCAAATAAAAAGAATTCTTATACTTTTGATGGCAGCTAATTGGGTTCCCAGGTTAGTCTGGCATAGTGGAAAGAGGGTTCCTGGGTTCTATAGGCTGCAGACATGAACCTCCACATTTGCTACTTGTTTCCTTCAAGGAAGTCACTTCACCTCCCTAAGCCTCAGGTATTCAATTTGTGAAATGATAGGTGCTAGATTTCTAATGTTAACACTGTGGAGAAAAACTCCTTTTCTTAGTAGAAATATCTTCCGTACTCCCAAAACACACACACTCCTGTTTCTCTTCAGGAAATGCTTCTATTGACCTGTTAGAATAGGAGCTGAAACCCCAGGTGACAATTTTGAATAACGATATAAGAGGTTAATATTCTACTTTAGATGATGGAGGTTAGAAGCAAGTCAGCTAACTGCAGAGCTGTTGTTTTGCTGATTGGATTCAAGTAGAGTGACAGATCTGAGTACCTTGGGACAAAATGAGGGCATTTCTGAGGAAGCAGAAGTCTGAAAGAAAAGAAAGAGGAGAAGTCATGGGAACCACCTTCTCAAATTATAGTTCCTTTTGGCTAGATACTTAGTTAACTAGTGTAACAGTAAATACAAATGGAACATAGGAAAAAAATAATAATTCTCCCTGATGGAAAAAGGGAAAGAGATCTCCACCACCACCACCACCATTTCCTCAGAATATTTTCTTTCAGAAACATAAATTCTTTCTCTGCTTCTTAGGGATATAGCAATTTTTTAAAGAAAAAAGATAAGTCTCTTGCAGGTTTTACAATGTAGGAATGTGTTTCTCAAGGGTCTGGAACTATCTCTGAGATAGAATCACCAAGGAGGATTGTACCTCATCCCCTCATCTTTATAAACCAAAAATAAAACTCATAGCCACCCCCTCCACCCCTCACAAACATCTGAATGGACCCCTCCTCTGCCAGGGCACCCTAAATTTAACCTGAAAGACTGGTTTAGGCCATGATGGTGAGACAGCCAGGTGGGAGAGGGTCCCCAGTGAAACTGCAACCAGCCCACACTGGAAGGAATGCACCTTGGGGTGGAGCCACAGAAGTTTGCACTGTTTGCAGAGGGAGGAGCCTGGTCCCACCTCTTCCTGTGTGGAAACTGGGATTCAATCTGCAAGGCAGGAAGCACACCAGCAGAGACTCTGACTTTGCAGAGGGTCCCTGTTCCCCCTTTTTTTTCCTTTTCACCCAATAAAACCCTGCTTTACTCACCCTTCAACTCGTCTGCAAGCCTAAATTTTCGTGGCCATGGGACAAAGACTGCATCTTTAGCTGAACTAAGGAAAAGTCCCACAACAATGGGGAGGGAGGGTCAGATATGCCTCATTATGCCCTCTTTCCTCTTGGAATTCAGGAAAAGCCAATCACCATTTAACATCAACACAAGCCTTAGGTCTGAGAAGAAACCTGTACAATCTATTTTCTCTGAAGCCTGCGAAATGGAGGCTTCATCTTCATGATAAAACTTTGGTCTCTGCAACCTCTTATCATAACCCAGACATTGTTTTCTATGATAATAACTCTTTCAAGCAATTGCCAATCTGAAATTTTTCATTCTACCTATAACCCGGACACCCCCTTGCTTTGAGTTGTCCCACTTTTCTGGACTGAACCAACTTATATCTTAAATGTATTTGATTGATGTCTCATGTCTCCCTAAAATGTATAAAACTAGGCTGTGCTGCAACCACCTTGGACACATGTTCTCGGGATCTCCTGAGGGCTGTGTCATGGGTCATGGTCACTCATATTTGGCTCAGAATAAATTTCTACAAATGTGTTACAAAGTTGGACTCTTTTTATTGACATTTTCATGGGAGGGTAGGAACCTAATGTTACCTAGGCGTCGGGCTCCACATTGCAAAACTACCTCCTGGTATAAAGATATGAGAATTTGTTTTTCCTTTGGATAAAGGTAATTAGCAAGCACCCATGGCCAATTTCAATTACCCAGTGAATCTGGGATGAACTCTATGTGGCAAGTGGTGCTGTCAAGTCCTTTTACTTACTTGCAAACTACTTATCATCGATCTTGAGAACGTGTATGTGAGGGTTTTACCTACTTGGCCACATGAAAGGGTGAGATTTCTGTCTGTTTTTCAATCTCTTTGGCAGATTTCTTGTGATGCACATTGAAGTGAGCTTTAGTGCTTATTCAACAACATCTATTCTACTTTTGTGGAGAGGTTTCCTGAACAGGTTTTGTTTTAAATTATTTCCCAAACACTAGATATTTGCTATACTTGAGGCTGCAAAGAAGGGGTCAGCAAGCTTTTTCTGTAAAGGCCCAGATAGTAAATATTTAGGCTTTATGTGTCACATACAGTTTTAGGTCATATTATTTTCTTTGCTGTTTTTTTTTTTTTCCACAGCCTGTCATTAATGTAAAAAACATTCTTAGCTTGTTGCCCAAATGGGCACTGGATTTGGCCCTTGGCTCCATAATTTGCCAACTGTAAAGTGTGGAAGGAGATTGTGAAACCCTTCCCAGAGAGGCCTGTAAGGGGCACCTTCAGAGGGTGATGCTACCTTTAGGGAAACAGGTGACTCAGACCCAGTCTTTTATTTACTTCCCTAGCCACTAGAGTTTGGCTCCATCTCTGTGCCAAAGGAATGCAGTGAAGAGAGAAGAGAGGTATTCAAAGGTGACATATACAGTTGATTCTCATTATTCACAGTAGTTATGTTCTATAAAGTTTCTGTAAATATCAAATTACTGTAGGGGCAGAGAGAAATCTTCCCCTCTGCCCTCTGATAGTTCACTGCTGAAATGAGCTGACAATAGACAGATTAACAAGGGAAAAATGCATGCAATTTATTAATATGCACATGGAGATGGGAGTCCTAAAAATATGAGACTCAAAGAAGAGCTTTGGTTAAGCCTTAAATGCCCTCTAGTTGGTTAATTCTTAAATATCCTATTCACAGGGGACAGGGAAAAGGGGGACTGTGGGCACATCTAGAGGGAAAGTAAATTATTTTAGGGAAAATGAATGAGCTCAAAGAAAAGACAATTGGCCTGGTACAAAGTTCGTCTGAGCTCTGGGGGAAGTACAAGCAAATTATGGAAAGGTGAGACCAGAACTTCATTGTAAACAAAGGTTGTCATTATGCAGATAAAATCTTTCCCATAATCTCTCTGAGCTGCCCTCAGAAGGATAGATGAAAAGTCTGTCTGGACATGGTAATGACTTATTTTCTCCTCTCTGGTGGTTACTCTTTCCTGGTTATATGATAAGATCTGTAGAGAGGGAGTTTTAAAACATCTGCATTTCTGGCCCGGTGCAGTGGCTCACGCCTGTAATCCCAGCACTCTGGGAAGGCCGAGGAGGGTGGATCACGAGGTCAGGAGATCGAGACCATCCTGGCTAACACGGTAAAACCCTGTCTCCCCTAAAAAATACCAAAAAATTAGCCGGGCGTGGTGGCGGGCAACTGTAATCCTAGCTACTCGAGAGGCTGAGGCAGGAGAATGGTGTGAACCTGGGAGGTGGAGCTAGCAGTGAGCTGAGATTGCGCCACTGCACTCCAGCCTGGGTGACAGAGCGAGACTCCGTCTCAAAAAAAAAAAAAAAAAAAAACAGGCCGGGCACAGTGGCTCATGCCTGTAATCCCAGCACTTTGGGAGGTCGAGGTGGGTGGATCACAAGGTCAGGAGTTCGAGGCCAGCCTGGCCAATATGGTGAAACCTTGTCTCTACTAAAAATACAAAAAAATTAGCCGGGCATGGTGGTACATGCCTGTAATCCCAGCTACTTGGGAGGCTGAGGCAGGAGAATTGCTTGAATCCAGGAGGCAAAGGTTGCAGTGAGCTAAGATCACGCCACTGCATTCCAGCCTGGGTGACAGAGAGAGATTCCGTCTCAAAAAACAAAAACAAACAAACAAAAAAACCCTGCATTTGTATATGTCAATTTGACTGGGCTAAATTGAAACAAACAAACAAACAAAAACACTGCATTTCTTCTGGAGAAACCTCCCTTGGTCAGACTTAATCAGATAAGGAAACTTCAGCAAAAGCCTCTCCTTTCTTGCTTCCTTGCTTCAGGAAAGAAAGAGGATGGTAGGTGATATGGTTTGGCTACGTCCCCACACAAATCTCATCTTGAATTGTAGCTCCCATAATTCCCACATGTTGTGGGAAGGACCCAGTAGGAAATAATTGAGTCATGGAGGCTGTTCCCCCCATATCCCCATATTGTTCTCCTGGAACAGAATAAGTCTTATGAGAGCTGATGTTTTTATAAGGGGAAACCTCTTTCACTTGGTTCTCATTCTTTCTTGTTTGCTGCCATGTAAGGTGTGCCTTTTGCCTTCCACTGTGATTGTGAGGCCTCGCCGGCCATGTGGAACTGTGAGTCCATTAAACCTCTTTTTCTTTATCAATTACTCAGTCTTGGGTATGTCTTTATCAGCAGCATGAGAACAGACTAATACAGTAGGGTGGGGTTGGGGGGGCTGATGGTGTTAGACAGAGTGTTGGTCCTGAGGCTTATTTCTGAGGCCTTTCAATTTTATTTAATTCAAAGCACTCAACACGTCAAAGTGCCATTTTTGAGGATATGGTTTTCAGAGCTCCAACATTAGCAAGTATTAAATTGTTGCTTCTTGGGAAAATGTAAGGGGAAGTTTCTGTGAGCCTCTGGCTGCAACATTTTCATCAAATGATCAAGACATAATCTTGTTTTATATGTGTTTCTGTTTAAAGACACCTTATTTAACATATAAAATTTATTCATCAGCATTGAGATTATAGCCAATGGCACTATACTATAGGTCATATCTGAACAAAGTTTATGTCACATGTGCCTCCATAATGCACATCACGGTCTTTTTGTGCTTTGAGAGCACTTTAGCACTATGTTTGGGGGCCATTGTAAACATCAAAATCACCAAAAAAGCACAAAAATATGAAAACCACGACACTAAACAGATTGTGAAAAGGACACTTGATTTTAGTATGAGAGTTGAAACAAGAAGGCAGAACACGGTTTTGTTCAACATCAGCTGGGAATGTGCAAGCTGGGAGAATGAAATTTTTGGCCAGTCTGTGTATGACAACAAAGGTGCTGTGGGTGTGAATTTTGGGGTTAGTAATAAATTTTAGCAGGTGGGTGAATTTGCAAATACAAATACATTTTAGCAAGAAGGTGGATTTGAAAATACAAAATCCACGAATAATCAGAATTGACATTCTGTGGGAGTTTTATTGAATGTGAAATGTAAAATCTATTTTCTAACTATTCACAACTACTTATGAATAATGAATTCATTTCCAAATATGTTTCTGTAAAGAGTGTATATATGTTGGGGGGGGTGTCCCTGGAGGTGCTGAGTGGAACCTCCATTTGGGTGTTATTGTCACCTGACATTTCAGCCCCACTTTTGGGTTATATCACATAATCTTAAGAATTTAAAAGAATCTAATTAAAATATTTGTATGTTAATGTCCATTTGAGGATATTCCAGGAGTAAGAGTGTGTGTGGATTTAAAATGTCATAATTCTTGGCTTGGATTATTACAGTCATCTATTACCATATTTAGAATAATAGCTATGACAAGTTTCTGCAAGTAGGTCATGTTTGTGCTAATTGCTTGTCAAAGCTGTATCCCCAATTATCACCAACATAACATGTTGATGAGACAAAGTTGATTGCTTATTTATTGCAAAGTTTTTTTGTTTTTTTGAGATGAAGTTTCGCTCTTGTCGCCTAGGCTGGAGCGCAGTGGCGCAGTCTCGGCTCACTGCAACCTCTGCCTCCCAGGTTCAAGCGATTCTCCTGTCTCAGCCTCCTGAGTAGCTGGGATTACAGGCATGTGACATCATGCCGAACTAATTTTTTGTAGTTTTAGTAGAGGTGGGGTTTCACCATGTTGGCCAGGCTAGTCTTGAACTCCTGACCTCAGGTGATCCACCCGCCTCAGCCTCCCAAAGTGCTGGGATTATAGGCATGAGCCACAGCACCCGGCTTATTGCGAAGTTTATTGCTTACCTATGTGGCAGGAAAATAATTGACCTCCCAAAGATGTCCACACACTCATCTCTGGAATATGTGAACATGTGAACTTACATGAAAAATGGAAATTAAGACCACATTTGGAATTAAAGTTGTTAACTCACTTTGAAATAGGGAGATTATCCTGGATTATCCAGATGGGGCTAATCACAAGTTCTTAAAAGTGGAAGAGGGGGGCAGAAGAGAAAGAACCAAAGAGATGGCAGCGTGAGAAGGCCTCCCAGCCTATCATTGCTGACTGTGAAGATGGAGGAAGGGGCCAGGGGCTGAGGACAGCAGGCAGCCTCTAGATGCTGGAAAAGTCAGACACAGGAGCCCAGAGCCTGCAGGAGGAACCTCTACCCTGCTGATGCCTGGATTTTAGGTCAGTGAGACCCACATTGAATGTCTGACCAAGAGGACTGTAGGATAACAAGTCTGGATTGTTTACAACACTGTTTGTGGTAATTTGTTACAGCAGCAATAGAAAACTAATACACTGGCAAGGGAGAGAGTACAGCCTTTGTAAATTTCTATCAGCATCTCAGAGGAGAGAAGGGGAGATCAGAATTTATTGAGAATTGCAAGTTTGGTTTAAGATGGGTCTCTGAAGGAGAGGATTTGATTAGAATTGTGTGAGAATCATGATACAACAGTCTGGGCTTAGAGAAAATAGTGAGGTGAGGATTTGTGGGGAAGGATTCAAAGACTCAAGCTGTAAACTCGGTCTATGACTTCCCCTGAAGGTTGATAAAGCATTTGGGAAGTTCCTATAATGAAAAATCAAACCATTCTTTAGGTAGGACAGTCCTCGAAAAGTAATACTAATGGAACAATAGAATAACAAAGTCATGTTAATATCAGTGGGAAGGTGTGGCTTCGGTTCTCAGTGTCCAGGCTGAGATGGTTCTCTTGGTTCTTGATTTAATAGCTGATCTTCTATAGAAAAATGTATAGCTGTCACTGCCCTGCTTCCTCTGTGTACTAATTTATGACTATGCTCAAAGGCACAAAAGCAATACAAGTATGATCTGGATAGAAAAAAAGAAGTATTTGGCAGCTAACTATGAAGAAAATAGACTATTCTGATGGCTGCTTTCATTACTATCACTGTGTACATTGCTGAAAGTAGAACGTGAGCAGAAAATAATAATTTTCAAATTTAAAACATACTTTGCTGTCTACTTATGACATGCTAATAAGGTAACAAATTCTTATCAATCATGTCTGAAAAGGACACAAATAGAACACAGTGCTTGCCATTTTAGTGATTGTCAGATTTCTTGTGACAACTGAGAATGTTAATTTTATAGTAAACTTGCCATTACTCTGTATGTAGTTCATCATGATGTCTTCTGAAGCCCTTTCAGTCATGGCCTAGTGTTAAATACCAATGCAATGCTGCTTTGATCAATGCAATGCATGCAGTGCCCATAAAACTAATGTCTTGTAAAACTACTTTGTAGCCAGAAATCTTTAAGACATTACCAGTATTCTGAGATAACACAGAATACTCTCTCATAATTTTTAAATCTTTAAATATTAATTTCAACATCAAACACAATTCATTATGGTACCACTTTTTTTAACATGATTAACTTGATAGCTAATACAAATCAATGTGAATGTAAATATATAAGAAATGACATAGGTAAGACAATAAACATCTGATTACTTGCTCAGCAAATATTTTCTTACCAACTTTACAAACCTCTTTTTTTTGCATTATTTTGAAACATTTACTTTTGCTAGATTCAGTGAAGCAAGTAAAGTTTGAATTTGAAAATAAACTAAACTGTGATTTGTGGAACAGGTTTTTATTTCACTTTTGAAATAAATGACACATACTGCAATTAATTAAATTTGAGATAATTTGATTATTAGAGATAATGACTGAGCAAATTTATCAAAATTTATTATAATAACTCTTTTAAATTAATCGCATTGTTATTCATGTGCTATGTTAAACCACATAATCAAACTGAAACTTTAAGAAAGTACACAGGTCCCAGAACAGAGCAGTTTTTCCTCAAGACAGGAAATTCCGGTCTACCTGAGTCAGTGCAAAAAGGAACTTTTCTCTGCTTTAACCCTTACAACAAATTAACCTGGATTAACCCTGATCTTAACCAATCAGCTTTTTGTCTATTGTTTTGTTTAATTGTTCTCATTTTACAGAAGCTACCGTTCTTCCATTGTCTGTGGAAGCTCTCATCCTATTTTGTAGAATGCAGGCTGCCCTGATTCATGACTTACAAATAGAAGCCAATTACATCTATAACTAAATTTGTTCTAATTTTGTCTTTTAAAAAAGTTATCGTCATAGGCCAGGCACAGTGGCTCACACCTAAAATCCCAGCACTTTGGAAGGTCAAGGCAGGCAGATTGCTTGAACCCAGGAGTTTGAGACCAGCCTGGGCAACATGGTGAAGCACAGCTTCTACAAAAAATAACCAGATATGTTGGCATGCGCCTGTAATCCCAGCTACTCCAAAGACTGAGGTGGAAGAATCACTTGAGCCCAGGAGGTCAAGGCTGCAGTGAGCCATGATCACTACAGCCTGGGCAACAGGGCAAGACTCTGTCTCAATAAAACAAACAAACAAACAAAAAACAGTTAACATCATAAATTTTGTTTTTATTAAGAAAGGGCAACTTAACACTTTCTTAGCTCTTGAGGATGTAAATTGGTTATCTAACATATATTAATGTCTCAAATATTGTATTATCTTTTAAAAATATGTTTGTGTAGAATACGGAGTGAATTAAGTTAAAATCCAGATAAATATTTTCATTATCTTGCAAAGTTTCCAAAATGCTATGTGTTTTTGCATATAATTATTTACAACTTATTTTTAACACATTACTTCAGCCTATTAGGGATCCAATGACATAGCCTGGATGTTTGTCTCCTAAACCTCATGTTGAAATTTGAACCCCTGTGTTGGAGGTGGGGCCTAATGGGAGGTGTTAGGGTCTTGGGAGCAGATCCCTCATGAAAAGATTGTTGCCCTCCCCGGGGAGAGGGGATGAATGAGCTCTCTGTTAGTTCCCAAGAAAGCTAGTTGTTACAAAGAGCCTAGCACCCCCTCCCCACTCTTTCCTCTTTTCTCACTATGTGATCTCACTACATGCTGGCTTCCCTTTGCCTTCCGCCATGTGTGGAAGCAACATGAGAAATTCACCAGAAGCTGAGCAGATGCTGCTGCCATTCTTCCTGTATGGGCTGCAGAATCATGAGCCAAATAAACCTCTTTTTTAAATACATTTTTTAGTCTCAGGAGTTTTTTTAATAGCAACACAAATGGGTTAAGATATTCAATGCAATGGTTCATGCCAAAAAATACTTTGCTATCCCATGTCACGTTATAGACTTCAGGAGAAAGGACGTTTAGAAGGCATAAAGACATTTACAAAGCACAGTAGTCCCTGTTTTTATTAAAACACATCATTGCTCTATCTAAGTATTTGCTCTGGTTCTGTAAGTGACTCTCCCAGCACACCTCTGGCCTTCAGGTTTATTCTATTTTCTCAGCACAGCACAGTTTTGCTAATTTGTAAAACTCCAATTTCTCATGAACATAATCAGATTTCTGGTTTCTCATAAAAAGAAATCATAGAAGACCTGGTCACACTGGGAGGCATCCCTTATAGGGTAGGACTATGCCCTTTCAATGAGCCAGGCTCTGTCCTGAGAGACAGCATTCTCTCCCAGCTCCATTTACTCCTTACCTCTCCTTGAAGGCTTTTACCTGCTATGATCTTTAGCAACTCTGCTGCCTTTGCTTGCAAGAGAAGATTAGGCATATAATTAACATTTCAGTAGCAGATCAGGCAGAGTCAGAATGAGGGCTTTTGAAACACATCGCAGCATTCATTTACAAGTGATTAGTGGTGGCCACAGGAGTGGCTGTCGCTGATTTGCCTTGCTTTAGGGAAGCCATTTTTATCTTCCCTCTACTTCTGGCTGTTGGAATGTTTCCATCTTCCAGCATATGGCACTTAGTTCCTGAGGTTTTTGCTCCCAGGAAAAGAGAAAGTCCCCAAACTTAATTTTATCCTGGGAAGAGCGCATCTAAACCTTTAATTCAGAGCAGATGATCACTAATCCTAGCATAGTCAAACCTAAGCAGGCAATATTTAGGGACAGACAAACTTTGAAATAATAGCAACTGGCTATTGTATCTCTACTAAGAACTCTGCCTCAAGCGTAGACATGGTTTTCTCCTATAAATCTCACCCTTAGGAACTGACAATTTGTCTTAGGTCAGGATGATATTAGTTTAGCACTCACAATAAGTTTTTCTGGAAATTTAGAATGGTAACAGAAGTTTATATTCTTAGGAATAAATATAAACTATTTTCTTCCTACTATGTTCTGTGTGTCATTGTGGCTGGTGAATAAAGAAGGGACAGACACTTTGGGAGGCCGAGGTGGGCTATTATTGTTGTGATGAGGAGTGATGCCTATGAAACCTTTAACATAGTGCCATATACAGTAACAACTCAGTAATATTTAGTTATTTGTATTATTATGCCATCTCCAAGACACCTCACCACTAGTCTCTAGAGTATCACAAGTAAAACTATGTGGAATCTTCCACTCACTCCAGTTTCCACTCTGGCAATCGTGTGGTCTATAAAATATACTGTCCTCTTTCAGACCTGGAAGTGGAAGGAGCCTGCACACATTTGAAAGAAAATTGTCCAATTAAATTCATTATCTTTACGACATAGATATATGGAAAATGGATGTAAATGCAGGAGATTTGTTTTTAAAAGTTGAATAATAAATTCCGCTGAAATACAATGTCATTCACTATGTAGGCAAATAACATCTACAAAAATTTAGGTAGAGGGATGTATACATCTATTAGGATATTCTAGAATGACTTTTTAAAGGTTATGCTGTAAAAATGCCACCAGGTGTTAGAAATAGATCAAACTGTGTCAAACTTTTTTTTTTTCTTTTTTTTTTTGAGATGGAGTCTCGCTCTGTCGCCCAGGCTAGTGTGCAGTGGCGCGATCTTGGCTCACTGCAAGCTCCACCTCCCGGGTTCACGCCGTTCTCCTGCCTCAGCCTCCCGAGTGGCTGGGACTACAGGCGCCTGCCACCACACCCGGCTGATTTTTTTGTATTTTTAGTAGTGGCAGGGTTTCACCGTGTTAGCCAGGATGGTTTCTATCTCCTGACCTCGTGATCCGCCAGCCTCAGCCTCCCAAAGTGCTGTGATTACAGGCGTCAGCCGCTGCGCCCGGCCTCCTCCATAGCCCTTCTAACAGAAGCACCAAATGACAACTCTAGAAGAAACATTTACAACTCTTTCCATTTTTCATCATACCTTTAAATTATAGGATGTCATTTGATGGTTTATTTCAGTGGTCTGTTGTTCTACTTGGTGGTCTATTTCATTATAAAATATATCTTTTATGACAGTAAACCACTGGACTACAGAGTCATGATAATTTCTAAATTTTGCTGCTGACCTCTAGACTCACAGTCTGTAAATAGTCTGACTTGATATCACTCCTATAAATGTTGTCAGGTTAGGGTCAAGTAAATAATTAGAAAATAATTCAGTATTTTTTTAATCAAGCATTATGATTTTTATCTTTTTGCAAGTTTAGAGTAACTTTTTCTAGGACAAATGCTTCTCTTGACACTGACACTCTCTGAAGATTTGTTTTGTGTGCCAAATTGTATTACTGTTCCCAATTACTTGCTGTCCTCCAAGTAAGAGGATTATACATCCCTGACACAATGGAGTTGGGATTGGTCATGTGACTTGCTGTAGCCCATAGAACATGAAGAGAAATGCTGAGAGCCACTGCTGTGAAGAAGCCCACATTCTGCCCATAATGGCCAGAGAGCACATCAGCCATAAATTAGGTTGTTCAGTTCATAGCCTGCCTCCCTCCAAGCAAACATTATGGTGATAGGCAGAATAATGCTAGGAATCTTAAAGGTTTGGTCATTTTCTTTTCTCATTTTCAGAGCTTTGTGCACTTTTGACCCATATTGTTTTTAAAACTTTGCCACTTAGGATAGATTTACAGCAACCCATAGGAAACAAAATTTAAAAACAATATATAAGGCAATTATCTAAGAGCTATAATTTTTAAATTAAAAGATTTTAAAACACTAAAAGGAATGGGAGGAAAGTTCTCTACTAATTTATTAAATGATGTAAAAGAAAATAGACCGGAGAAAAATGACTAATAACAAATACAGCATCCTCTTTCATATTTTAATATTCTACATATTAGATTTAATGACGACCAGGTATTTGAGAGTATATTTATTGTCATAAGTTAGGCATAAATGTATATATAGACACATTGATACATTAAATGCTTTTGTGTGATTGTATACCATATCTACATTTAGTTTTTGTGAACTATATGTAGTTCACATATATATCACATGTCATGCACATATATGTCATGCATGTGACATATATCATACACATACATTTAGGAAAAAAAGTTCTATGAATGAAAATATATGTGCCCATCTCCTAGCTTAATAAATTAAACATTACCCATATTTATTAGTCCCCAAGGTAAACGCTATCCTAAATTTTGTTTATCATTCCTTTACTTTTTGTTTGTGATTCTTTGAATATACTCTTTTGTTTTTCCCTTTTTTTTTTTTTTGAGATGGAGTCTTGCTTTGTCGCCTAGGCGGGAGTGCAGTGGCGCAATCTCAGCTCACTGCAAGCTCCACCTCCCGAGTTCATGCCATTCTCCTGCCTCAGCCTCCCGAGTAGCTGGGACTACAGGCGCCCGCCACCACGTCTGGCTAATTTTTTTGGTTTTTTAGTAGAAACAGGGTTTCACCGTGTTAGCCAGGATGGTCTTGATCTCCTGACCTCGTGATCCGCCCATCTCGGCCTCCCAAAGTGCTGGGATTACAGGCATGAGCCACTGTGCCTGGCCTGTTTTTCCTCTTTTTGAAGACTTCATAGACTTGGAACATACATATTAACTCTGTGATTTTTTAAAAGCTATTATTGTTCAACTTGAGTTTTTGAGATTCAGGCATGCTGATACATGTAATTAATGTCCTTAATTTTCACTGCTATATGATATTCCACTGAATGCATCTGCCACATTTTATTCATCCATTTTTTGGTTTTTAGGCATCTTAGTTGTTTATTTTTCCTTTTTTGGCTTTCATAAAAAAATGTTTCTATGAATATTTTAGTTTATAACATCTTTTCCCAGTGACTTTTGGATTTTCCTATTCACAACCTATTTAACTGAGTTTACTGGTTTGAATAGAGAACTTTGGGAGGCAACCAATGTGACTTATTTTAGCAGACGGGATGGTGGTTGAGGTGAACTGATGTGCACATGAGGTCAGGTCAGTTGTGCACATGGGCATAGCCTTTTCTCAGTGATAATTCTGAACAGCCCAGCACATTATTGCTGGGAAGTCCTTTAGAGAACATGGGTCCAATTTCCTCTTCTTGAATTGCTGTGCCAATGCATTTTCAAAAATTACTGTCATGGCTGGATGCGGTGGCTCACGCCTGTAATCCCAGCACTTTGGGAGGCCAAGGCGGGCGGATCACGAGGTCAGGAGATCAAGACCATCCTGGCTAACATGGTGAAACCCCGTCTCTACTAAAAATACAAAAAATTAGCCAGGCGTGGTGGCAGGAGCCTGTAATTACAGCTATTCAGGAGGCTGAGGCAAGAGAATGGCGTGAACCTGGGAGGCGGAGCTTGCAGTGAGCCGAGATGGCGCCACTGCACTCCAGCCTGGGAGAAGAGAGAGACTCCGTCTCAAAAAAAAAAAAAACAAAAAAAACAACAACCTGTCATGTTAATGTAGTTTCCTATGAGAAACAAGTGAATTAAAGAGTTAAAAATTAATCGTGTTACAGATGAGCTTGTTTAATTGCTGCTTTCCTTCTTTTTCTGTAGTGACTTTATATGAGCACTGAGAGGCAGAAATGGTGATGAGGGTTGAGAATTTGCGGTTGTTTTCTTCCCAACTAACTTGTAAATTTAGAATGACCTAAATTTAACGACAACAGCTGCAAACTCTAATCTGAGTACTATATTATAATATTAACTGCTGAATGAAACTAGACATTATGTCAACGTAAGAGCAACATTTTCAGGGAAGGGTGAGGAATTTGGACTATTTTAGAAACTAAAGGAATACAGCAGGCAAAACAAACACCAATCTGCTGACGTCAGATAAAGACAAACTTTATTTCTGAAAAAAGAAACTTAGGGGAGAAAAGCTTAGGGCAAACCACCAGCTGATATAGTTTAGATGGCCAGGCGCGGTGGCTCACGCCTGTAATTCCCAGCACTTTGGGAGGCCGAGGCGGGCTGATCACAAGGTCAGAAGATCGAGACCATCCTGGCTAACATGGTGAAACCCCATCTCTACTAAAAATACAAAAATTAGCCGGGCATGGTGGCTGGCGCCTGTAGTCCCAGCTACTCGGGAGGCTGAGGCAGGAGAATGGCGTAAACCCGGGAGGCGAGGTTGCAGTGAGCCGAGATCGTGCCACTGCCCTCCAGCCTGGGCGAGAGTGCAAGACTCCATCTCAAAAAAAAAAAAAAAAAAAAAAAATATATATATATATATATATATATATATAGTTTGGATGTTTGTTCTTTCCAAATCTCATGTTAAGATGTGATTCCCATGTTGGAGGTAGGCCCTGGTGGGAGGTGTTTGGGTCATGGGGGTGGAGACCTCATGAATGGTTTGATGCCTTCCTCATAGTAACGAATAAGTCCTCCCTGCATTAGTTCATGCAAAAGCTGGTTGTTTAAAGGAGTCTAGGCCGGGTACAGTGGCTCACGGCTGTAATCCCAGCACTTTGAGAGGCTGAGGCCGGCGGATTGATTGATCTTAGGAGTTCGAGACCACCCTGGGCAACATGGTGAAAGCTCACCTCTACTAAAATACAAAAAAGTAGCCAGGCCTGGTGGAGTGCACCTGTAGTCCCAGCTACACGGGAGGCTGAGGCACAAGAATTGCTTGAGCCTTGGAGGCAGAGGTTGCAGTGAGCCAAGATCGCACCACTGCACTCCAGCTGGGGCTACAGAGTGAGACTCTGTCTCAAATAAATAAATAAATAAATAAATAAATAAATAAATAAATGAGTCTGGCATCTCTCTTGTTCCCTCTCTTACCATGTCATACACCAGCTCCCACTTTGCCTTCTGCAATGATTGTAAGCTTCCTGTGGCCTCAGCAAAAGCTGATACTGTCATTACACTTTTTGTACAGCCTGCAGAACTGTGAACCAAATAAACCTCTTTTCCTTATAAATTATCCAGCCTCACATATTTCTTTATAGCAACACAAAATCGACTAACACACCAGCAGACATGGGGTTCTTGTTCTCAAAGCCAAGGCGGGCAGATCACCTGAGGTCAGGAGTTCAAGACCAGCTTGGCCAACATGGCAAAACCCCATCTCTAGTAAAAATTAAAAAATTAGCCGGGTGTGGTGGTGTGCACCTGTAATCGCAGCTACTCTGGAGGCTGAGGCAGGAGAATTGCTTGAACCCAGCAGGTGGAGGTTGCTGTGAGCTGAGATTGCACCACTGCACTCCAGCCTGGGTGACAGAGCAAGACTCTATCTCAAAAAAAAAATTATTATAATCACAAAGTTTAATTTACAGATATGACCTGTTTGTGCAGGGACCTCACAGTCCCCGTGTCTATTTACAGAATCTCCAGCTTTGAACTCACTAAGATAGGGCAACCTCAGTTTCAGGTAGCTGGAGTGGAAACCCCCATATCACAGTTCTGACTTCATTGTTCTTTATATCTAATCCCAGGTATACCTTGTATAGAATCTGTTACAAGGTGAGGTAAGTGAGGTACTCCCCTTAGGAACACAATTAAATGGGTAAGCACAAAACTTAGCAATCAAAATAAATAATGTTTTAATACATTATTTAAAAATATTAAAATTAATGCAAAAAAGTCACCATGAGCAAATATTAAAATTTAGCAGGATCTGAGCCTGCACTTTTGCAACTCACCTTGTTCATCTCACCTTAATTCCTGTTAATTTCCTTCTCAATTAGTTTCCAGCAGGACAAAAATTCGTTGGACTTGGTATGAAGATTCAATCCATACCTTGCAGAAATATTTGGTCTAAGAAGGATATTTCATCTAGGACGAGGTCATTTATTAAGTTTAATTCTCCCATCATGTCTTCAAGGCAACAAATATAGTCTAAGACCCTCTATGACCAGTTTTATTTGCCACTTTCCAATTATTTTGTCACTACACAGCCAGTCACAATCTGTTGTAAGATTTTACTACAAATGATGACTTAATCTTGCTATCATGATTAGGATGATTATATAGTTTTCTTCATTCAAATTGGGACATTCTTTATTTGAAAGGAGTGCTACAGAAATCATGCCAGGACTAATGGGACTGACTTGGACAAAGCAGTATTGCTTTCAGTATGCGCTATTATATTTTAAGCACGTTCTTGTCTCATGGATGACTTTATTAGCATAAGAGTGGCCACTTTTAAAAAGCAGCATTTCTGGGAGGCTGAGGGAGGAGAATGGTGTGAACCCGGGAGGCAGAGCTTGCAGTGAGCCAAGATCGCACCACTGCACTCCGGCCTGGGCGACAGAGAGAGACTCTGTCTCAAAAATAAATAAATAAATAAATAAATAATAAAAATAAAAATAAGAAAGCAGCATTTCCTACATATTGCATTCAATTTTTTACTTACCTATCCCTTTGACTTTTAAAACTTTTTTTCTTAGTCTGTGCTTGTGTCTTTGTGATGTTTCCATCAGACAGCAGGCAGCACTGCAGCGCACTGTGCACCGAGTTTTGCATTCCTGCCATCCTTTTATACTTATTTATTTATTTAGACAGAGTCTCACTCTTGTTGCTCAGGCTGGAGTGCAGTGGTGCGATCTTGGCTCACTGTAACCTCTGCCTCCCGGGTTCAAGTGATTCTCCTGCCTCAGCCTCCCTTGTAGCTGGGACTACAGGCACCCACCACCAGGCCCAGCTAATTTTGTATTTTTAGTAGAGACGGGGTTTCACCACGTTAGTCAGGCTGGTCTCGAACTTCTGACCTTAGGTGATCCACCTGCCTCAGCTTCCCAAAGTGCTAGGGTTACAGGTGTGAGCCACCACCCCGGCCTTACGCCATTCCTTGAAATTTGCGTTTATGGCATCTTTGACTTATTCAATAACACATCTTGTACCATCGTGCTAGAAATGCTAACTTGTGTTCAGAATTTCTGCATCCTTCTTAAGTGAAACTTTGCCAATTAAGTAAACCTATGATAATACGGTAATGAAATCGTATCCCAGTATCTCATTTCTAGTGCCATAATAGTGACAATTTATCTTGTCATCTTCAGAGGGGCTTAACCTCACTGTTTCTGTCAGTAGTAATGGATATATTTAATTAATTCAGCAGGAAGTTCTGTCTTAAAGCTCATTCTCTTTCCCCTATGCGGAGAGTGAGGACAAGCTTCTGCAAAAGAGCCGATTAGCAGAACTTTTGATATTCTGAAGACAGTTACTGTCCCTCTCTTGCTCTTTCTCTTGTTCTGTGTGTGTATGTGTGACACACACACACATTTAATATGTTTATATAAATATTAACATATATATTTAATATTTTCCAGTCCTTATCTCAATGCTCTTGATTGATAATGAGGGGCAGTGAAAGTCATTACAGAGATATACAAAGTTTACATTAACTGTATCTAGATGTAGAGTTTTTAAAATCATTTGAACTCTGAGTTTCAACATTTTTTTAAAGCAATAAATGAAAGCCTTCAGAGTGCAAAAAATTTTAATATGATATTAATTTGAAAACCTCAAAGTCTCTGCAGTGATTTTAAATATGATGCAGCCTTCTACTCTAAAAATAGGAAATCTAGATTATTAAAGTATTACTAGAATATGGCTTTAGTTGTTAATTTAAAAATCTAAATAAAATACAACAGTTTTATGACAGTTCTGAGGGGAAAAAAACACTGTGGATTGTGTAGGAGTTAAAGGCTGAATCTTTATTTCCTGCTCTCTGAAACTGTACCAGTGATTGACAACCACAAAATAGAGAAAGATTAATGCAGAATATGTCAGTGTAGTAGATAAATTCCACACTTCATAAAACATTTTTTCACAGAGATTAAAAAAATAGAACATTATCAAGAGAACACAACCCCTGGGTAATAAATGTTAATATTTACATCAATAATATACTATAAATATTAATATTTAAATGACACTGGAGATAACCTAAGGAAAAACTATCAGTTTGACTGGGCCACAGGGTGACTCAGATATTTGGTCAAACATTATTCTGTGTGTCTGTGAGGGTGTTTTCTGAATGAGATTAACATTTGAATCTCTAGCTGAGTGAAGCCCACTGCACTCCCCAGTATGGATGGACCTCATCCTCTTGGTGGGAGGCCTGAATAGAACGAAACAGCTGACCCTCCCATGAGTACTGGGGAGCTCCTTTTGCCTGACTGTGTGAACTGGGACATTGGTCTTTTCCTACCTTCTTAAATGAATGAAAACATTGGCTCTTCTTGAGCCTCAAGGCTGCAAGCTTTTGGACTATACCTTACCTCTGCTGGGTCTCCAACTTGCTGACTTCAAATTTCCATACTAATCAGCTTCTGTCATTACTTGAGCCAATTCACAATTCTTTAGACAGTCCCCAACTTACAATGGTTCAAAACGATTTTTCAGCTAATGATGGTGTGGGCTGTTTTGTTTTTATTTAATAAATTGACAATTACTTTAGCTAAAATAATAAAGATTGCATTTTGTTTTTTACTTTCAACATAGTATTTAATAAGTTACATTAAATATTCAACACTTCATTATAAAATAGGCTTTGTGTTAGATGATTTGGCCCAACCGTAGGCTAAATGTATGCTAATGTAAGTGTTCTGAGCACATTTAAGGTAGGCTAAGCTAAGCTATGAGGTCCAGTAGGTTAGGTGTATTAAATGCATTTTCAACTTGTCAGAGACAAGTGAACCAGAGCAACTCCATCTTAAATAGGAGCTGGGTAAAATGAGGCTGAAATCTCCTGGGCTGCATTCCCAGATGGTTAAGGCATTCTAAGTCATAGAATGAGATAGGAGGTCAGCACAAAATACAGATCATAAAGACCTTGCTGATAAAACAGGTTGCAGTAAAGCAACCAGCCAAAACCCACCCAAACCAAAATGGTGATGAGAGTGACTCTGGTTGTCCTCACTGCTACTCTCCCACCAGCACCATGACAGTTTACAGATGCCATGGCAACGTCAGAAAGTTGCCCTATATGGTCTAAAAGGGGAGGGATGAATAATCCACCCCTTGTTTGGCAAATCTCAAGAAATAACCATAAAAATGGGCAACCGGCCGGGTGTGGTGGCTCACGCCTGTAATCCCAGCACTTTCGGAGGCCGAGGCGGGTGGATCACAAGGTCGGGAGTTTGAGACCAGCCTGACCAATATGGTGAAACCCTGTCTCTACTAAAAATACAAAAATTAGCCAGGCCTGGTGGTGCACGCCTGTAATCCCAGCTGCTCAGGAGGCTGAGGCAGGAGAATCACTTGAGCCCTGGAAGGGGAGGTTGCAGTGAGCCTAGATAGTGCCACTGCACTTCAGGCTGGGCAACAGAGCAAGACTCCATCTCAAAAAAAAAAAAAAAAAAAAAGGCGCAATCAGCAGCCCTTGGGGCTGCTCTTTCTATGGAGTAACCATTCTTTTATTCCTTTACTTTCTTAATAAACTTACTTTCACTTTGCACTGTGAACTCGCCCTGAATTCTTTCTTGCACAAGATCCAAGAACCCTCTCTTGGGGTCTGGATCTGGACCTCTTTCCTGTAACAAACTTATGATGGGTTTATTGTGACATAACCCCATTGTAAGTTGAGGAACATCTGTGTGTGTGTGTGTGTGTGTGTGTGTCTATGTGTAGACAGAGATAGAAAGAGAGATAGAGAGAGACAGTACTCTAGAGAAACCTTACTAATAATATATGTAGAACAAACAAACAAAACAAAACCATTTCTATATTATGTCACACCTAACTTGTTGCTTTCCACTCTGGTATTATTGTTGAATAAATGAACAAATGCCACACAGTTACAAAATGATACTTTTTCCATTTTTATAGCCAATTCAAACAGAAAAGCAATCTTATGGATACTATGGTCCACATCATAAAAGCATATTTTATTTTTTTACTTTATAGAGTAGATACTGTCAATAAACATTAATCTAAAAATTAATTTTTAGATTAATGGCGGCCATACTAGTTATAGTTTATGAATCATGTTTGGTCAACTAGTAGCAGGATATAATTTCTACTTGGCCAAGCCCAGTGGCTCACAGCTGTAATCCTTGCACATCGGGAGCTCAAGGGGAGAGGATCACTTGAGCCCAGGAGTTCAAAACCAACCTGGACAACATTTCTACAAAAAAATGTAAAAATTTGCCAGGCACAGTGGCACGCCTGTGGTCCCAATTACTAGGGTGGCTGAGGTGGGAGGATCATCTGAACCTGGGAGGTGTAGGCCGCAGTGAGGTCTGATCACACCACTACACTCCAGCCTTGGCAACAAAGTGAGACCTCACCTCTCAAAAAACAAATCATGTATATGGACTTAGTTCCTTTAACGTGAAATAATGCCCCATATGTGTACACTCCATTGATTTGTAGGAAAAAATTGATGCAAGGATGAGGGATGCATAAAGGAAGAATTTCTCCAGTATCTCTCAATCTTTTTTTCTTTTTCTTTTTCTTTTTTTTTTTTTTTGAGACTGAGTCTCGCTCTGTTGCCCAGTCTGGGGTGCAGTGGCACGATCCGGGTTCACTGCAACCTCCACCTCCGGGGCTCAAGCAATTCTTCCTGCTTCAGCCTCTAGAGTAGCTGGGATTACAGGAGCCTGCCACCACACCCAGCTAAATTTGTTTGTATTTTCTAGTAGAGACTGGGTTTCACCATGTTGGCCAGGCGTGGTCTTGAATTCCTGACCTCAGGTGATCCGCCTGCCTAGGCCTCCCAAAGTGCTGGGATTACAGGTGTGAGACACTGTGCCCGGTCCAGTATCTCTCAATCTTGATTTAGGGGTTAGAGACTTCTTGGCCCCGACTTTGTGACCACTTTCACTAGTTATCTCCATGCCCGCTCTGGAGAAGTGAAGCTAGGGAGGCCTTCAGCTGCTGGCTCACTAGGAAGCACTCACAGCGGGAGGGAGCCGACTCTGCCCTCCAGGTGGTTTTAGGTCCACATCTGTGGAGGGCCAGGAGCTGGTAACTATTCTGTGATGCACGTTGAATTTTCTCCACTGTAACTCATTCCTTGGACATCTTGTCAGTTCACTCACAAATGATATGTTGACAGTATTTGTGTTAGAACAGCGTGTCCTAAAGTGGCATTTTACATGTAGCTGCTTTGTGCATTTATCTTTTATAATACAAAACTATTATCCTTAAAAAAAAGTCATTTAAGTACAAGCTTAAAAAAGACTTTCGGAAGTAGTTACCAATTTAGGGATACACCTGGGATACGACATTATTCTTTTTAATCAAAACTTCAGCCCCATGGAAAATGTAGCAGTAGACACTTTAGATGACAGTGACACAAATCATATCCTTTTATGTTTGGGTAGGCTTTAACTTCTAAAATCATCTCTTACCTCATTCTCCTACTTTTAAGGAAAAAAGTTTCATTTTACCTTGGCATGTCATGACTGCTGACATGATTTCCAACATGCCATTAAATAGAATCATCTTGAAGAAGGAAGGAGGGGAAGGAAGTGGAGGAAGAAAACCCAGATTATCAGAGGCTCTGGTAAACATTTGATAGGAATCACTATCTCCCTTGGTCCTCAAAAAACTCCACAAACCAGATATTGTGCATCTGGCAAAAGCAGAAACACAAAGCAGAAAGGTCAAGCAACTTGCCTCTGATTTCACTATTAAGGAGAGCAGAGCACAGCCTCAGGTTCAGGCCCTGGTTCTAGAGCCCCTGTTCTAACCACTGCTTGCGGCTGCCCACCCTGCAGAACATGCTGGCATACTATGCAGAGGCAAAGGCAATATTTTACTGAAATGTCAGAGGTTTATGTTATTGGCATACTACAGATGACCTTCTTTGTGGCCCCAATTTTGCTTCAAATAATAGAAAATGCACAGTAGGCTGGGGATGGTGGCTCACACCTGTAGTACCAACACTTTGAGAGGCTGAGGTGGGAGGATCACTTGAGGCCAGGAATTTGAGACTAGCCTGGGCAACACAGAGAGACTGTCTCTACCAAACAAAGAAAGTGCACAATAGTTCCACATACACATTTTACATCTGACAGAAACTAAGAAACAAAAATCTGGAATACCTCCACCTAAGACTGTACAGCCCCTGGTTACACAGATGTGACTGAATATTTCTGTGGGACTCTCAGGTTGCTGGTTCTCATTTCCATTCTGATTTCTGCATCTTTCCACTTTCATGAATTGTATTTTACACTATGTAAGTTGCAACCATTTGGAAAAACAAACAAAAATAAGTATTTTTGCAGCTAATTAATTTATAAAGTTTTTATTTTTAATTCACCTCATTTCAATGGGGAAATAAGTATAAGATACAAAATAGAGTCATGAATAAAATAAAATAAAACGTGTATAATTGGTATTTCTACATGAACATAAATGCATGAATATGTTGTTCAATTGCTTGGTCCGAGTAATACTTTTATTTCTGAGAGTACTTGCTGTCAAAGAAAGGTTGAAACATGATCAATTACAAGACACTCAAGGTTAATAATAGAATTTAGAAAAAGCAATGGACAGGGATGCTGCACGGTAAAGTTGTAGAGATCAGATATCAGCCCCAATTTTCTTTTTTTTATACAGTGGTGATGATGATGTTGATGTTAATAATCATCTTAACATTTACTGAGTATTAATATTATGTCTGCACTATTGTAGCACTTTGCATGTATTAACTCATCGCCTCTTCACAGAAGCCCTAGGAGGCAATATATCAGTAATATTTGCATTTTACAGAGGCAGGAAGACAGAACTGCCAAAGTCACAAGGTATATTAGTTTGCTAGAGACATCATAACAAAGAGCCACACACTGGGTGACTTAAACAATGGGCATTTTTTGTCTGATAGTTCTGGAGGATAGAAGTCTAACACTAAGGTGCCAGCAGGGTTGGCTCCTTCTGAAGGCTATGAACGAAGCATCTATTCCAGGCCTCTTTCCTGGTTTTGTAGACACCTGTCTTCTTCTTTGATCTCTTCACATCATCTTCCCTCTACGTGTGTCTGTCTCCAAATTTCCCTTTTTACAAGGATATTAGTCAAATTGGATTAGGGTCCCTTCGCAACAACCTCATTTTAACTCCCATGTAAAGACCCTAAATCCAAATAATTCCTGGGTTCTGCAGTACTCAGTGTTTAAAAATTCAACATATGGGCTGGGCATGGTGGCTCACACCTGTAATCCTAGCACTTTGGGAGGCTGAGGCAGGCGGATCACCTGAGGTCAGGAGTTTGAGACAAGCCTGACAAACATGGCAAAAACCCATCTCTACTAAAGGTACAAAAATTAGCTGGGCATGGTGTCAGGCGCCTGTAATCCCAGCTACTCAGGAGGCTGAGGCAGGAGAATCACTTCAACCCAGCAGTTGGAAGTTGCAGTGAGCTGAGATAGGGCCACTGCACTCCAGTCTGGGTGACAGAGTGAGACTCTGTCTCAAAAAAACTAAATAAATAAAAATAAAATAAAAATTCAACATTTGAATTCTGAGAGATGCATGGTTCAACCTCTAACACACGGCCAGGAGATCTGCACACAGGCAGCCTGGCCCTGCACCCAGCCTCAGGGCTACGCAGAGTGTGGTCTGTGACCCGCAACCTCAAGTGCCACCCTGGGTTTCCCTTAGTTCCTTGAACACCTTTTTTTCAGTAAGTCTTTAGGAAGGTAACATAATGTAGGTAATTCATTCAAAGTAAGAATGTAGCTCCATTAATGACATGAGTGCATTCTGTCCTGGCTTTGTTGGATTATTTTATTCTTCCCCTTTATTTGTCCTCCCTGGATGTTAAGTCAGCCCTGTTGGGTGATGTAAAAAGGGCGAGTGTGATCTCAGGGCTCTTAGGGAGAGAGTCAACACCGTGACAGCATCAGTCAGGCAGTTTCTCACAGGAGCCATCGGCTTCCTGCGGCTTCCTCCGGAGCCTTCCTTCCTGCTGCTCCACAGGGGCTGCTGCATGGGAGATGCTGCCCTGCTGAGCTGTCATTTAAACTTATTCTGAAGATTAACAAGGCCCATCACTTGCAGATACTAAGCCCCTATCATGAACACAGTAAAATATTTACTTGAACAAATTAAAATATTCTATTCAATGATGATTCAGAATAAATTAAAATACTGTAGAAGTGTGTTTTATGTAAATATTTTCTCCTTTGTTCTGGATTTTAATTATCTTGAATTTTTATTTGCAGAACATTTAAGGAAGTTTCTGTTTTAAACCAGCCTTGGAGGGTTTTCATGACAAGGAATTGCACATTGGATGATCATTTCTACCTTTTGCAATAACTACTTCTTATTTGCAAGTTGTGTTTAAGTGAACAAAGACAGTAAGTATTAAATAATTGAAAACTATTTTTTAGCAGATTTGTTGGATAACAACTATTTAAGGAGGTTAAACAAATGCCCTTCAGATTTTCAGTCAATATTGGCTATTACTAAGCTGACTTGCTTCTTTAATCACAGGGCTTCATTTGAAGTCCAGTAACTATGACTTTGAGAAGATCCTTGGTTTCCACAGCATGTATGATTCATACCCACAGGTTTCCCTGTGAAACCTTTTCCAATCTTTTACACTATGCTTCAGAATCCTGTACCTCCTACTTAAAATAAAGAACACTTAACTAGTAAAAATATGATACTGCAAGATGAGTGTCACTAGATGATAGCATCATGCTTCCACTGTAACCCTGTCTTCATATTTAAACGCGGATACACTCTTTACTTCTTCATAACATAAAGAGATACCAAATACTTATTCAATACCTAACAATATGCAGCATTTATATGAACTTTGACTAGGTAATCTTCCTCAAGTGGGTCCTAGAACATACATACACACACACACACACACACACACACACACACACACTGAAAGTATCGATATAAAATATAGATACAAAAATGTTTCAGCAGAGATTACAGAAGAATGTTGAAACTGCATAGGGCATGTTCAGAAATTTCAGAGCCAGTGGAGCAGCAAAAAACACAGAAATCCTGTCAGGAGATACTATTTCCAAAATCCTCAGAACAAAACAGTCAAACTACAGTGAGAAACCCTAGAGTGTGTTCTTGGGCAAAATCTAAGAATTTAGCCAAGTTCAAAACCCGAAGCGTCAGAGTTCACCAGTTCTGTCATAATAATTTTTCCAGGACTCATTTTCCTCATCTGTATGATGAGGGGGTTAGCCTGGATAAAATACAGGGCCTAACCAATGCCCTGTCTCTGTAAGGGCAGCAATATTGTGGAAGAATTTCTGCACTTTAAATATCCGTCTTGGCAGCAAATCCTCAGAGTCATGAAGTAGCACGTCGTTTATCCTCGTGTATCTGGGCACAGATGCTAGTGTTACATCCATCCCTCACTACTCATCAACATGAGTCCAAGACATGGATCAGTTCTTTATTTAGAGATAAAATGACAGGATAGATCCTCTCTGTGTGTTTATTTCACAATTCCTTCATGACTTGCATTCCCCTTTCTCATCAGAATCAGTGCCCTCCATTTCTTCTTAAAGGATGGTATTTTGACATAAATGGAAATGATTTTTGCCTTCTGTGAGACAGGGGGTTTTTTCTCCACTTTCTTATAGGTCAATTTCCAAATCATGAATGATGGACTCACTAATTATAGTACTGTCAATGTTTTCTTGACAGGGTCTTTATTTTTTTCCTCCAGGAGACGTGGGAATGAGTACATTCCTATCTAATGTGAAAATCCAAGTTTATTTTCCTTTTACATAAGATCACTTTTTCCCTTAGAAATCACATAGATGGATTATAGAAGACATTTTATAGGAAATTATAAAATCTAGGAAAAAGTTGCAATATTGCAAAATTGCTGTAATATGGCAAATGAACTGAAACATGGGGTTTCATATGACATCTAGTAAATTTTATTATTTATACTGTGAAATCCCATTAAATAATGAAATTAAAATAGTTTAACCTGCTAAATTGTGTGTTCTTTTGACCGCTCTTGACAGGGTGGACAAAGGGTCAATTAAGAATCACCCTTTTTGATGCCAGACAAGCTCCAGTGAGTCAGAGCAAACACGTTCTGAAGTGTCTTACTCAACCACATCACAGAAACTGTCTCAACATTTTGCCATTCTTAAAATTAGTCTCCCAAGTCTATTCATGATTCAAAGGTGGTGAACATCAGCTATATACTTTTCTGTTTTGCAGGTTACTTATAATTCCTTAGGCTGTTTCTTCCCCCCATCTCTAACATTCTTTCATTCTTTGAAGATAAGCTATGGACAATTAGGGAAACATAACATAATTGTCTGTGCCCTTGCTTGGGTGTTTCAAATATTAGTATTGTAAAAATCTGTGACTTAGAGGGATTATTCTCACACACACACACACACACACCTATTATCCACAGATTAACTTATTCTACTCTTAAGAAAACATTTTATAGATGTATTCTCAATACTTCCCTTTACGGAGGATGTTTTTTCTATTATTAAATTTTAACCATACATAACTGGAAATCAATTATACTGACCACCTGCCCATATGAGCTATTCAGGCATCATTTTTTTTCCCAACACGCTATGAGCTGTGATGAGAATGAGAAAAATAGCACTTGATAAGTCAACTCCACAACCCAACTCAGTATTCTACAAGGTTCTCTTTATATTTGATTCATTTGAGAGAAAAAACCCTGAGGGTGAATATAGAGTAGGTAATGTTCAAGGAAAAAAAAAGCCTATTTTAGATATTTTCCGTGTAAATCTCAGAATATGATTAAAGGAAAGATCTTTTGAATTCAGATTTCCATGGAAACACTCACAGCATTTTTCAATGGCGAGTAAGTGAGCTACATGATCTAACAAACCATTTTCTTACTGAATTTAAAATTGTGTTAGTTAGACACTATCAGTTTCCCTCCCTGTTCACCATGAGCCTGAGTTGTTTCCCTAGGCTTGGTAACATCCTCTCCCCTTTCCTTGTCCCTGGGTTGTTGTTGTAAAGTATGCCATCCCTGTGGTTGTTAATTCTAATGCAAATTTATTAGTCAGGCCATTCTCAGCTCCCTATGATGGGAGTAGAAATGGGGAAGGTACCCTTGGTAGGTAACTTATCTCGTTTTGATTTCTAAATGATGTAAATGTAATAGCTTAAAAAAAAATCTCCATATAACTGTTCTCTGCACCCTCTGATTGGGTAAATACTCATGCAAATTGACCATCTTATCAAATATATTTTTATGAAAGTTAAAGAACCTGCACCACATACGTAGCAAGACAACTTCCAGTCACTTCTTACCCTCTGAGCCTTGGGCTTCTCTGCAGCTGGGCAATGCTGTACAAACAGCATAAATGCTCCAGTTGGGCATTTGGTCTTAGAGGGGTAAAAGATCTAAGAATGCTTTTGCCTGTTACACGATTGGGCAGGTTGTATTTCATTTTTAAATACAAAAGAAGTAAATAAACGATGTGCCAGAAATATATTTGAATTTTTGTCAGTTGACATTTCAGTAGCCATTATGGACCCAAAGTCATTTTGTTTGAGGAGCTGATACTGGATAATATATTTTTATTTAACAAAAGTTATGATAACTTGTAGTCCACATGATCTGAACATGCGTGTCCTAAAAATATATTTGAAAATGAGAGAAATGCATATAGAGATGAGGAAAACCCTAGCTGAAAAGATAAATATATAGACGATAATTTTTTTTAATTTGGGGAGAAGATGATGAACATGAAAAGAATTATGAGTTTGAAAATCTGTCTACAGAAACATCAGGTAATTCCTTATCTGTGCACTTACAACACATTTCCTCATATGCATGCCTGACAGCTGCCACAGCAAAGCTGCCATTCGAGAATTTCTTTTAAAAGTTAATGTACACAAATATCCACGAGAGACTTAGTATTTCCAGAAGCTTTCGATTGGGGTAGAGTTGAAAGGGAGGGTAATATTTTGCAGTGCTGTGGAATAAAGCAGCATCTGTCTCAATTACATCCAGCTCTTATATGCAGAAGATTTCCCAAAGATGGCAGTTTTGATAAATATTGACCTCCAAAGCTCTATCATTTTGTCGACCTAAAAGGAAGAGGCTGAGACACAAACTCTGTAATTTAAAGAGTTTACTGAGCCAAAGTGAAGACAGCTGTCAGGAGGACTCGGACCCGTGTAACCTTGGATATGAGTTTGGCCTTTGTTACAAACAGATTTTTAAAGGCAAAAAAGGGGGAGAAGGCATGGCTGATACAAAGTTGTTTGTCAGGCATTCTTATTGATTTATAGAAATAACATTGATTAGTGATTGGCTATACATTGTTAAGCTACAGGGTGTGGGTTATAGCGTTTGCTCTGACATTATTAGGTTAATTTATAGCTACTTGTGGCAATAAGCAGTTTCAGGAGATGAATACCTAGCTCAAAGCGGGGAGTAGGACTTGACTGCTGCCTCATTTTAATGTCTCTCTGGGCCTCATTATTTAAAAGGACTCACATTCCTCAGATAAAAGTTCTTTTCTCGCCTTTTTTTTTTTTTTTGAGTAATACAGAATCAATCAAGCAATATTGTCTCCATTGCACGAAGTAATGTGTTATTTACACCATGGATATTCTAAAATGAAACCATGAATGTGAGTTGTTAAAAAAGCAAGTACAATAAAAAATGCATGTCCAAAAATGGATACTCCCAAGCTGAGGAGCTGAGCTGTCAGCAACGGGAATGATGACTCTTGGCCTGCGAAAGTCACTGAAAATTGAATTTGAGGGCACAGAGGAGGATGGGAGTCAGTGGCTAAAATTGTTGAGAAGGTCATTTACATTTTTCTTATTTATTATTTCTATTCTTCAGAGTCTAATATTTTCACTAATTTTAAAAAAACTTTTTCTTGGCCGGGCGCGGTAGCTCACGCCTTAATCCCAGCACTTTGGGAGGCCGAGGCGGGCGGATCACGAGGTCAGGAAATCGAGACCGTCCTGGCTAACACAGTGAAACCCCGTCTCTACTGAAAATACAAAAAAATTAGCTGTGCGTGGTGGCGGGCGCCTGTAGTCCCAGCTACTCCGGAGGCTGAGGCAGGAGAATGGCGTGAACCCGGGAGGCGGAGCTTGCAGTGCGCAGAGATCGCGCCACTGCACTCCAGCCTCGGTGACAGAGCAAGACTCCATCTCATTTAAAAAAAAAAAAACAAACTTTTTCTTATAGTCCCCTAAATGTTTAACAATATTTAAACTATCTTCAATGGTTCTAAACACATTTGGTACCTTTAAAATTTTATTTCCTATTTTATAAGACAGATGAGAGATTTGGATGTAAACACACAGTTTTGCATTTAGGTGTAATGATGTCTTGGCTCTTCAATCTGAAGAGAAAATATAATGACTAGTAATTAAGTTGGAAGTGGTATTTGAAAACCATCTATTAATTGTTTTACGTACTTTCTACTACCTAGTTTTAAGTTTCAACATAATTTTTAAAAAAATGTTTAATACTGGCCGGGTGCGATGGCTCACACCTGTAACCTCAGTACTTTGGGAGGCCAAGATGAGTGGATCACTTGAGGTCAGGAGTTGTATTCACCAACATGGTGAAACCCCATCTCTTCTAAAAAAAAAAAAAAAAAAAAATTAGCCAGGCATGGTGGCACACGCCTGTAATCCCAGCTACTTCGGAGGCTGAGGCAGGAGAATCGCTTGAACCCGGGAGGCAGAGGTTGCAGTGAGCGGAGATCGTACCATTGCACTCCAGCCTGGGCAACAAGAGCAAAACTCAGTCTCAAACAAAACAAAACAGAAAGTTTAATACTGATGCCTTCTTGCATATCTCACTATTCCTAGAATTGCATTTTATTTGTTGTTGTTGTTTTCCTTTCCCTGCTGGGCTGGGGTGGGTGGTGATATATGCAGTGATGTTTACAAGCAGAGAGGCTGTTGCAGCAGAGGTCTCATCTAACAGGGAGCCTTAATGAGCAGTGGCGCTTATAAATTAGGGAGATACTGAAGCACGCTCCAGATTCAGTCAGGACCTCAGGATGAGAGCTTGGGGTTGGGGAAGAAAACATAAAAGTGGCTGAGTATTTTTGAGGGGTTGATGAGTCTAAGCCCACTTCTTAAGATTTGCTCTTTGATTTCCTGTGTACTAGGTAGGTATTTACCTTCTCCTCCTCCTTTTTAAGCTGGGGTGCCTGCGAGCCTCCATGCAGCATTCGCTGGACAGTGCTGAGGAGTCAGTTATCAGTGCCGCTGGTGGACGTGAACGTTGCTCTGAGAAGCTGTGTGGCCAAGGGTGACATTTCCTCCAGGCAGGAAAGTCCATGAGTGTTGTTTCTTTGTCTTTGAATGAACAGTCAAGCCATGCCTCCAGACATCTTTGACATAAGCACAGGCCTCCACAAGACTTTTAAAATACTCTAGGGGAGAAAAGTCCTATCTTTTCTTCACCCGCCACAAGGTTTACAGCCCAAAACCCCCATAACAAAAGACAGGTTAACAAGAGAAAAGCATAACAAAGGTATTTAATCAAAGTTTTGCTTGACACAGGAGGCTTCAGAAATGAAGACCCAAACACCCAGGGGGAAACTGTATTTTTATGTTAAATCTGATGAAAGAAGTGAATAGTTGTGGAGCAACGTAACTGGACAAAAGGGATATGATCTAATGGTAATAAACTGAGCAGAGCCCAGCAAGGCCTGTTTGTTCTGATTCTTCTTGGTCTCTCTGTGTGTAACCGCCCAATGGGTTCATCTAGCCCCCTGCCTAGACAGAGCTGATTTATCAAGACAGGGGAATTGCAACAGAGAAAGTGTAATACACACAGAACCAGCTGTGTGGGAGACTGAAGTTTTATTATTGTTCAAATTAGTCTCCTGGAGCATTTGGGGATCAGAGTTTTTAAGGATAATTTGTGAACTGGTGGGGGGCAGTGAGTTGGGTGTGCTGATTGGTCAGGTCATAGGGAGTCAAAGCTGTCCTCTTGTGCTGAGTCAGTTCCTGAGTGGGGCCACAATATCAGATGAGCCAGTTTATCGATCGGGGTGATGGCTGCTGATCCATCAAGTGCAGCGTCTGCAAAATATCTCAAGAGCTGGTCTTAGGCTTTACAGTAGTGATGTTATCCCCTGGAGCAATCTGGAAAGAACCTCGTAGCCTCCAGCTGCATGACTCCTAAACCATAATTTCTAATCTTGTGACTAGTTTGTTAGTCCTACAAAGGCAGTCTAGTCCCTAAGCAAGAAAGGGATTTGTTTTGGGAAAGAGCTGTCATTATGTTCATTTTAATCTATAAATTATAAACTAAGTTCCTTCCAAAGTTAGTTCAGCCTACGCCAAGGAATGACGAAGGACAGCTTGGAAGTTAGAAGCAAGATGGAGTTGGTTAGGTCAGATCTCTTTCACTGCCTCAGTTATAATTTTGCAATGACGGTTTCATGTGTAGCATTCCTTTCTCCAGGTAAGGGGCAGGACTCCTCTGGAATGAGGGTCTTATGAGCTCTCAGGGGAGGTAGGTAAAAGATAAGCTTTCTAGATTTTATGGCTTGTTTCAGGAGACAGAAGGATGGGAGAAGGCCAAAGAGAACTACTTGCTTCTAAAACCCTCCTGTCTCCTTTAGTGCAACAATCCACACATGCCAAGGCACCATACTTTGGGGTACTGTGCTCTGAGCTCCGATAATACAAAGAAGTAGAACCATGTCACGCTAAATGTTTAATATGCAGCTGGGGGTTTTATCTAATAAATGCAATAACAAATCATATCTCCTCATGACATTAGGGTTTTAGATAGGCACTCCATTGTCTCAAACAGATTTTAGCTTCAATCTCTACATAGCTGCTACTTATTTTTATGAAAACAATCTTTGAAAATTGTTTTCAAGAAATTACAGGGCAGGGCGTGATGGCTTATGCCTGTAATCCCAGCATTTTGGGAGGCCAAGGCAGGAGGATCACCAGAGGTTAGGAGTTCAAGATCAGCCTGGCCAACATGGTGACATCCCGTCTCTACTAAAAACACAAAATTAGCCAGGTGGGGTGGAATGCACCTGTAGTACTAGCTACTTGGAGAGTGAGACAGGAGAATCGCTTGAATTCAGGTGGCAGAGGCTGCAGCGAGCCAAGATCAGGCCACCGCACTCCAGCCTGGGTGACAAAGCAAGACTCTGTGTAAAAAAAAAGAAAGAAAGAAAGAGAAAACAAAAACAAAAGAAATTATGTAACTGGTCTGCTCAAGATAATTAATTTTGTGTAATTACTGAACATATTAAAGGCTCTTTATTTTATTTTATGTTTTTTTGAGACAGAGTCTCGCTCTGTCCCCCAGGCTGGAGTGCAGTGGCGCCATCTCGGTTCACTGTAAGCTCCGCCTCCTGAGTTCACACCATTCTCCTGCCTCAGCCTCCCGTGAACTGGGACTACATGAGCCCACGACCATGCCCGGCTAATTTTTTTGTATTTTCAGCAGAGACAGGGTTTCACCGTGTTGGCCAGGATGGTCTTGATCTCCTGACCTCGTGATCCGCCCGCCTCAGCCTCCCAAAGTGCTGGGATTACAGGCATGAGCCACCGCGCCCAGCCGTAAATATTTTTTTAATTAAAAAAAAAAAAAAGCTGGTTAGTATTCTTAAAGAAATGTTCTGTTGCAGGGTTTGGATTGTTATTTTCTTAAAGCTGTTTCTTTCGGCTGGGTGCAGTGGCTCACACCTGTAATCCCAGCACTTTGGGAGGCCGAGGCGGGCAGATCACAAGGTCAGGAGATCGAGACCATCCTGGCGAACACGGTGAAACCCCGTCTCTACTAAAAATACAAAAAGCTAGCCGGGCGTGGTGGCGGGTGCCTGTAGTCCCAGCTACTCGGGAGGCTGAGGCAGGAGAATGGCGTGAACCCAGGAGGCGGAGCTTGCAGTGAGCCGAGATCACGCCACTGCACTCCAGCCTGGGCAACAGAGCAAGACTCTGCCACCACCCCCCCAAAAAAAAAAAAACCCACACACACCAAAAAACTGTTTTTACGTCATTATCTGAGCGGAAGCGGAACCGCATTAGAGGGTGAGTAGTTGGGCTAAATAGGACTCGCCTTTCTCATATTCTTTTTTCAGATGATACCCTGTTGAGCTGGTAGGTAGGAAGAACCAGCGAAGCGCACAGTTACCGGAGAGGTTATTTGCCCAATGTTGAGAAACATATGTGTGTATTAGAAAAAATCACATCGACTCCCAGGAATCCTGCAACATACTGCAACTGTGATGCTGACCAGAATGAGTGGAGATTTCCTCATGATTTCTCTGTGTGAGATGCAGGTTAAAAAAAAGTTATTACTTAATATATGAATAGGCAGATATTGAATAAGCTATTGCAATGAAAAAAATAAAAGTATGCCCTAGTGAGTAAAAAATGTAAGCTGATGAAATATAATACAATTAATATGAAAACTAAATATCAAGATGGAAGGTTTGCTAGTTCACTGTGGATAATAGATCATGTACATTTTTCTAGTAAATAGAAATACTTGGCTTCCATTCACTAGAAGTCCAACATCATCTCTTTAAATTTAAGTTCGATTAAGCAATCTATTACTACCAATATTTAAAGTAGTAATTCACAAAGTGTATCTGCTTATAAAAGTCCCATGATTATCTACATTTAAGAGTTAATGCTGCATATCACACCCCTTGGGGACACCATACATTAACATATTTAGTTCTGATAGGAATGTTTACTTGACTCAATCCTGATTTTCCAAAGTCATTTAATCACAAAATTATGTAGGCAATGTCATATGATCAGGAAAAAAAGTGTTCCGTGAACCACACCCTGCAAAGGGTGATCTAAAAAATGTCAGAGATTCGAAAATGTTTCAACTGTCTTTAGAACAAAGCAATAATCTCCTGTGGATTGCAATACTTCCTTTACTGAGAATTTGGAAAGTTTTTTGTAGATTTTTAGGTTATAGTTGGAAAGTATGCTGATTTTTTTTAACATGGAAAGTAAAAGTGGTTTTTTAATCTCTGGATTAATTTATTAACATGTATCACTAACTCAAAAAAAAAACCTTTTTTTTTTTTTTGAGGTGGAGTATCACTCTGTTGCCCAGGCTGCAGTGCAGTGGCACAATCTCAGCTGACTGCAGTCTCCACTTCCCGTGTTCAAGTGATTCTCATGCCTCAGCCTCCCAAATAGCTGGGATGACAGTTGTGCACCACCATGCCTGGCTAATTTTGTATTTTTAGTAAAGATGTTTTGCCACGTTGGCCAAGCTAGTCTCGAACTTCTCACCTCAAGTGGTCTGCCCGCTTGGGCCTCCCAAACTGCTGGGATTATAGGCTTGAGCCACCGCACCGGCCCTCAAAAAAGGTTTCATAAAGCCCTAGTGCTTCATCTACTAGCCTATGTATCTCCAAATCCATTTGACCATGCAGCGTACATTTATTTTTAAACTCTTAAAGGTCAATCTGGGTGTATATATCATTGATTTGGCTACAGAATGTCAGTTATATTTTATGTCTTTGGTTAAAAAATGAGGATACAAAATTTTATTCTCAAAACACGTTTATGTAATGTTGATTAATAAAAATAATTCACCTACTCATGTTTGATAATTAAATAATTAGTTTTATCTTTCCCATCACAGTAGGTGACACATAGAATATTTAGGTTTTGATTTTGTCAAGATGAAAATGAATAGCAAACCTGTTTGGAATTCTGAATTCAATCTCAATAAGGAATAGAAAAAAAAAAAGCAGACTTCATTTTAATTTGGTTTGTATTATTCCCACAGGAATATACCTGGGGCAGATAAATCTTCTAGAAAATCAGATGTCCTTTCATATGAGAATAGAGTTCAATGATATACTTTTCATCATACACATCACAGGACAATGTCATCTTTAAATATAGTAAAGGGGGCTAGGTGAGGTGGCTCATGTCTGTAATCCCAGCACTTTGGGAGGCCGAAGCAGGTGGATCACCTGAGGTCAAGAGTTTGATACCAGCCTGGCCAACATGACAAAACCCCATCTCTACTAAAAATACAAAATTAGTTGGCATGGTTGCATGTGCCTGTAATCTCAGCTACTTGGAGGCTGAGGCAGGAGAATTGCTTGAACCTGGGAGGTGGAGTTTGCAGTGAGCCGAGATCACACCACTGCACTCTAGCCTGGGTGACCGAGCAAGATTCATTTTCAAAATAAATAAATAAATAAATAAGAAAAAAATATATATATAGTAAAGGGAACAATTACATTCTACAATATTGTAGCAGAAGTAAATATGGTTTAATTCAATGGAAACAGCTCTGCTCTATAGAAAATTCACAAATATTAAAAATAAACACACTCTACATTAAACCTCTGAGCACTGGAAGCTCACCTACTTATTCATAGGCTCACATACTGTAAGGGGGTAAATCCCAAAACCCAGATAAGTCAAATGAAAACTTCACTGTGCCCTCCCTTTATCTATTATATTATGTGCAGTTTTGTGAGTTTTCAACATAAATGATTAGCTTCTGAGGAGTTTTAAAAGCATTTGCCATAGATCAACGATAGTATGATCTAAAAATGAGTCATCAGTTAAAGCTACAGTAACATGAATATATATTAATAGTTACAGTCAATGAAAAAATGATGACTTTATTTTTGTCTTTAAGGGTATAAAAAGCGTATTCAAAGTTACTGAGGGTACTCAGAGTTAATTTTTCACATCAAAGGGAAAGGGCTAAGGAAGGAATTGTTTCAGCCTTTCATTCAACATTGTAACTGCAAACAAAAAATTACTTTGAAATAAACATACAGCTGTACCCCTTGCTAATTAAGAAAGAACTTCTTGGTCATAATTATATAATGGCCAATTTTTACTTCTAATTCCGGCTTGGATTTCCCTAGTTTATTTATTAGCCATTGAGTTATTATGATCATCGTTGTTAGCCTTTAGACATAATATTTGTATTAGCTGTTGATTAATTTTTTTTCCAAAATTTACATAACTCTGGCTGTCCTATCAATTTCCCATAGAGTTATCATTCCACTTGAATCTGTGAAAAGTGTCTGATTAAAAATCATATGGATAATTACCATCAACACTCAATTCTCAGCAGCTGTTGAGGAGGAGCTTCAGTTAGATACACATCATCCCAAAGAGAACTCATCGTGATGGAAGGGACATTAGAAATAAGAGGAGAGTGGTTAAATCAGTAAAGGATTGACTCCATTACACTGCCATCTGTTCATCCACGACCTTGCTTCCATTATTCTGTGCCCATTTATTGATTTAATGACATTAATATTGTTTGACAACTGCCCAGTGTCTGCAATAAATGTTATTTTTTTTGCTCAACGGTTGTTGCATTGACCATGAAAATGTATTTGAGCATCAATCATTTTCACTGTACATCTGGTTAGAAAATATTGGACACTATACGAAGGCCTTTATAAGGCAAATACAGATAACTTGTATTTTTAGTAAATTCTACCAATGAAGCTGTGCCGATGACATACTTCCCATGACATGTCTGAGAACACAGTTCCCGTAGGAGAGGTGAGCTACCAAAGTGTAAGCATCAGTAAGAACAGCACTCCAAGTTATCGCAAGCACCTATTTTTTTTTTTTGAGTCAGAGTCTCGCTCTGTCCCCCAGGCTGGAGTGCAGTGGCGCAATCTCGGTTCACTGCAAGCTCCGCCTCCTGGGTTCACGCCATTCTCCTGCCTCAGCCTCCCGAGTAGCTGGGATTACAGGTGCCCGACACCCCGCCCGGCAAATTTTTTGTATTTTTAGTAGAGACGGGGTTTCACCGTGTTAGCCAGGATGGTCTCCATCTCCTGACCTTGTGAACCGCCAGCCTCGGCCTCCCAAAGTGCTGGGATTACAGGCGTCAGCCACTGCGCCCGGCCACAAGTAAGGGTTTTAAAGGCAGGGGTAAATTTCAGGAAAACAGAAGTTACAACATTGTGAACTGATACATTGGTTTGGCCTAAAAAGGTGGGATAGTTTGAGGTAGGAGATTACCGGTCATAGGTATATTCAAAGACTGTTTTGCAATTGATGAAAAAAGAGTTTGTTTAAACATTTGGGGTCAGCAGAAAAGATTATTAGCTCTGGCACGTGGGCACGGCTTCCTCCAGGTCCCTCAAGAATAAATTTAGAGCCAAGGACAAACGGAGTTCGGGGTTCAGTCCTCAGCTCCCCCTTATCTGTGTTCTACTCGCCAGCGGATCTGCTCGGTAGGGAGTCTGGGTTTCTGAAAAACAACTCAGGGACATATGTTAAAATGTTGCCTTTAGTTTCAAATATCTTATGGCTAGAAGTTCCTTGGCTGTTGTTTTAAGCTGTGATTACTTTCTTGCTTATCAAGTTGCTTGCTTCTCAGGGCTAGCTAGGTGCCTGGAATTTCCCTTGAAGGAACTCAATATTTTCCTTTATTTCCATGCATGGGGGTGCAGGGTGGTGGATGGAGGGGGTGCAGGCCCCAAGAGGGTTCCCTGCTCCATTTTAGGGACCGCACTTGTGAAACAATATCCTCTGAGTAGGAGATTCAATTTTTTCCCGTGACAATCTTAAGGTCTATTTCAACAAAGGGCCAGATAGTAAATTTACTTTTGTTCTAGAGGCTGTAATGTCTCTGTACAGCTGTGCAACTCAATCACAGGAAAGCAATCATAGATAAAATGTAAAAAAATGGGTATGGCCAAGGGCCGGGAGCAGTGGCTCACGCCTGTAATCCCAGCACTTTGGGAGGCCGAGGTGGGTGGATCATGAGGTCAGGAGATCGAGACCATCCTGGCTAACACCGTGAAACACTGTCTCTGCTAAAAATACAAAAGAATTTGCCAGGCGTGGTGGCGGGCGCCTGTAGTCCCAGCTACTCTGGAGGCTGAGGCAGGAGAATGGTGTGAACCTGGGAGGCGGAGCTTGCAGTGAGCCCAGATAGCACCACTGCACTCCAGCCTGGGCAACAGAGCAAGACTCCATCTCAAAAAAAAAAAAAAAAAAAGAATGAAAAAAAAATGGTTATGGCCAAGTTTAATTCTTTGGGCCATAGTTTACCAAACTCCTGATTTAGATGATTAGCAATAGTCCTACAAACTCTGAACTCTGTATATCAAGGCAGTATATAATTAAATAACTGATTTTAATTACTATAGGACTTCAATGAAAGGAGAGAATGCTATCAGTTGAAATAGTTTTCTGAAGATAAAATGGGGCCAGAGACTTCAGGAATTAGCAATATATTTACTGTCTGTTAAACTAATCGCCTTTTATTACGTGCTAATCAAGTTCTGCTTTATTTCATATGACAAGAGTGGTTTTGAATTAAGTAACTCTCAGACAATTGTTTCAGCAAATGATTTAGTTCTCATTTCCATGCTTACGTATAAGTTCTTTCACTCAAAAAAAAGAGGAAATCTTTAATTTAGGAATAAAATACAGAGGATTGCTTCAAGTTTGATTTGTTTTCAAAGCCTAAATTTATAACTTTTATGTTGCCCTTGCCAATGATTATTTGCAGTTACAGTCTGTAGTTTCACATCATTAATAACTAGAAAGAAAAATGGGCTTTTTATTTGGCTTCAAAGTGGGTGACGAGTTTTGGAGCTTCATCTGCTTGCCGTGTTGCTATTGATGCCAATATATTTGCGACTTCCCACTTGCAATATCATTATCAACAGGTAGAGAAAGACATAATGGTTTCAATCTCCTTGCTGACAAACACTTCTCTACACTTGTTAAATCACAGATTTAGCTAAAAAAAAATGAAAGGAATATTCCCCGTTGGCTGTGAATTTATAAAAATTGCTTTCTTTGGCAGACAGTCCTGTTTCCTGTCTCAGGGAAAATACACAAAGTATAATGAACACCATGGAGGCATTTCCTAAACTTACATCTCATTATTCAATGCAGGGAGCACAGACTCTGAAGAGGGAAACCACAGGGGAAATTACACATACCATTTGTCAACTTACATTCCTTTAAGCAAAATGCACCAAATTAAGAATTCGGGACGATAGTTTTGCATTGCTGAGTACATTTGAAAATCATTTGAGGCCGGGTGCGGTGGCTCACGCCTGTAATCCCAGCACTTTGAAAGGCTGAGGCGGGTGGATAACCTGAGGTCAGGAGTTCGAGACCAGGCTGGCCAACATGGAGAAGTGATGGCGTGGTGGCCAGGCTTGGTGGTAGGCACCTGTAATCCCAGCTACTTGGGAGGCTGAGGCAGGAGAATCGCTTGAACCCAGGAGGAGGGGGTTGCAGTGAGCCAAGATCGCGCCATTGCACTCCAGCCTGGGAGATGGCCCAAGACTGTGTCTCAAAAAAAAAAAAGAAAAGAAAAGAAAATCATCTGGATGCTGGTCAAAGCTTAAATGCTAAAAAGTTCTACCTCATGAGTTTGTTTTGCTGGTATGTGTGGAATCCACCTCTATCTTTCTCAGGCTCTCTCTCTTACTCTCTTACTCCCTCCCTGTTTCCTTCCTTCCTCCCTTTCTTCCACTTTCCCTCTGTCTCTTCCACCCTCCCTCCCTCTCTTCCTCCCTCTCTTCCTTCCTTCCTTCTTTCCTGTACATTCTCACCAGCTACAAACTTTGGACCCTCTTGACAAACGTTTTTATGTCTTCCATGAGGATGATTACTACTAGCTTGTTGCTGATGGTAAGCCACGTTTCCTGTCTCCATATTGAAGAAATGAAATGGCAGCTTGAAGGCAGCAGGACAGAGATTCGCTGCCAAACAACCAAATCAGCTGTAACTGCCTATTGGTATGGAGGACAGAAGGGCTCCAGGCTGTACCATCATTGAGATGCAGGAATTCAAGTGAGTCCTCCGTATTCGAACTGGCCTGGAGTTGGTGCTTGGGAGTTGATGGCTACTTCTACATATAACTACACAAAGAACTGGCTTAATATTAATGCTCAAGTAAACGAGTCACTAAACAAACAAGAAAAACAAGACCAAACTATGAAATCTGTTGTTAAAAGTATATTAAAATTCAGATTGAAAATGATTGAAATCAATTATTAAATATGTTTCAAAAAAAGAAAGCATGCTACATCCATTTGGTTTGTTTTCATAGGTAATATCAAACTGCTAAATATCACCTTAATTCAGTCATTGATAAATGTGTGCAATGAGGTGCAGCCCACAAAGCCTTTAATCAGTGTGACCATTCCAATATCTCATGGCCTTTAATTTTGCTTCTGTTCGGTTATCAACATTGGATGTTATAACATCAGGTGGCATGATGTGTGACATTTGTCTGTCATTCATTCATTCCATTATTTATTGAATGCCTATCACAGCACAGAACTTGACATGGGAGTGGGAGAGTAATCGTGAACAATACTAGTAAAATGCCTGCCCTCATGAGGATTATGTTCCTGTTGTCATGAAGTTGTCATCTACTTCTAGATGATAAACAAGAAACAAATAATCAAAATGCACTCAAAGAATAATAATAAGGGCTTGAGGAAGTTAAAGCACTTTAAGGAAGTTAAAAAAAAAAAAAACTAGTCATGGGGCAGTGGCTAATTTAGTTTGAGTGGTCAGGGAGGCCTCTTCACAGAGTTCACATTTTGCTGAAAACTAAAGAAGATCCAGCCTTGAGAAGATGTGGAAAAGGGAACAGCAAATGCAAAAGCCTGATAGAGGAAGAGCTTTGGATGGTGATATTTCAACAAGAACATCCTCAAGGCTGGAGCAGGGTGAACAGGAGGGAAACCAGTAGCATGTGGAATGGGATCAAATGAGCGTTCAACTCTATTTTTCCAGGGATTGGGGAATCAGATAAGGCCCCCCATGTATGCTGTAAATAACCAAGACTGACCTTCTACATTAAAAGAGAGAGATGTGTCTTTCCTTTTGAATGTTAAAAACAGTTTAAAAGTCTTTACAAAATTACCAAAGACAAATAATATCACATATATCAAATTTATCCATTTGATTAATAATTTTTAAGATTTTGAAGATTAATAATTTTTTAAATTATTTTTATTTCATGATTTTGCATAAAAGTTGTGAGTGAAATAGATACTGTGATTGGAGAAAAGATAAGGAGACAATGTATATGTGTCTATTTGGCAGGGGGTGGGGACACGTCATAATATATATTTGGTACGCATCCTATCTAGTTTCTAATTAAAACCAAAATTGGCTGGGCGCGGTGGCTCACACCTGTAATCCCAGCACTTTGGGAGGCCGAGGCGGGCAGATCACGAGGTCAGGAGTTCAAGACCAGCCTGGCCAATATGGTGAAACCCCGTCTCTACCAAAAATACAAAAATTAGCCGGGCGTGGTGGTGGGCACCTGTAGTCCCAGCTACTCGGGAGGCTGAGGCAAGAGAATCACTTGAACCAGGGAGGCAGAGGTTGCAGTGAGCCAAAATCACGCCGCTGCACTTTAGCATAGGAGACAGAGCAAGACTCCGTCTCAAAAAAAAAAACAAAAATTATAATATGACTCACCACAGCAACCCATTTACATCTTCTGTTACATGGCAACAAGGAACTAAATATTAATCATAAACCCCCAAAGACATTAATCCTAGGATGTAAAGTCACTCCCTAAATCGCTACGTCTTTAAGTTTCATGGGTCCACTCCTTGTCTATGGGTGATCTCTGTTGTAGAATTTGTCCCATCCCACTTCCTTGGGCTGCTTCCCTCAGTAAACTCACACATTCACTCTCTCCAATAAAATCAGAATAATGATGAAGTGGTACCACTTTCTTGCTTCATTGGCAAATAACTATGGAAGCTAAGTGTCTTGTTAAGAACTATATTAGCAGATCATAGTGAGCCCTAGACTTGCTATCTCTTAAACATTGATGAAAGATAAGATGTAAAACTAGCAGTTGCTGACTTGCATTAATAAAGTGTTAAGAAGGGCGAGAGCCAAGGATTGCCACAGGGAGGAAATTAAGTAACCCGCTTACTGCATTTCCTTGGGCAACTGTAGATAAAATGTTTGGCTTGGGTAAAGAACTGTTAAAACCTTAAAATAAAATTTAATGACCCCATTTTTTAAAAACTTAATTTTTAATCAGGTTTTTAAACACAGTATAATTCCTTCAGTATGGCAGCTGTGCCACAGAGTTCACTCTATGTAATGTTTTTGTATTTAAAAAAATAGTTTGTACTTTAAAAAAATACATAGCTGTATTGACATATAGTTTATATAATGTACATTTTATCCATCTAAAAGTAAAATTCAGCCTCCCAAGTACCTGGGATTACAGGCACCTACCACCATGCCTAGCTAATTTTTAGCTAGCTAATTTTTTAGCTAGCTAATTTTTAGCTAGCATTTTTAGTAGAGACAGGGTTTTGCCATGTTGGCCAGACTTGTCTCGAACTCCTGACCTCAAGTGATCTGCCCATCTCAGCCTCCCAAAGTGCTGGGATTACAGGTGTGAGCCACCATGCCCAGCCTTTTTTGTGGTTTTGATTTATATTGTTCTAATGACAAATAATGTTGATCATCTTCCTATGAGCACATAGGCCAATCTTTGGAAAAATCTTTAGTCACATTTATTGCTCATTTTTAAACTGGGTTATTTGTCTTTTTATTACTGAGTGGTAAGTGTTCTTTATACATTCTGGATATAATATCTTATCAGATATATGATTTGCAAATATTTTCTCTCATTCTGTGTGTCGTCTTTTCAGTTTCTTGGTAGCATCTTTGGAACTACAAAAATTCTGGCCAGGCGCAGTGGCTGAGGCCTGTAATCCTAGCATTTAGGGAGGCCGAGGCGGGCAGATCACCTGATGTCAGGGGTTCAAGACAAGCCTGGCCAACATGGCGAAAACCCGTCTCTACTAAAAATACAAAAATTAACCTGTGGTGGCGCATACCTGTAATCCCAGCTACTGGGGAGGCTGAGGCACGAGAATTGCTTGAACCCAGGAGGCAGAGATTGCAGAGAGCCAAGATCACACCACTGCACTCTAGCCCGGGTGACAGAGTAAGACTCCACCTCAAAAAAAATTTTTTTTTACTTTAAAAAAAAATTCAATTGACAAATAATGACTGTGTGTATTTATGGGATACAATGTGATATATTCATATATGTATAAATTATAGGAAGTCCAACTTATCTATTTTCTTCTTTTGTTGCTTGTGCTTTTGGTGTCATATCTAAGAAAGCTAAAGTCAAGAAGATTTTTTTCCCCTATGCTCTCTTCTAAGAGTTTTATAATTTTATCTATTAAATTTTAGTATATATTTTTGAGGTAACTTTTTGTATAAAATATGAAGAAAGGGTCCAGTTTCAGTCGTTAGCATGTGACATCCAGTTTTCCCAACACCATTTGTTGAAAAGACTATTATTTCCATTGAACAGCCTTGGCATTCTGGTTGAAAATCAACTATTAATGTAAACATTGATTTCTAGACTCTTAGCTGTATCCCATTGGTCTATATGTCTATCCTTATGCCAGTACAAGTCTGTAATTATTACTATAGCTTTGTAGTAAATTTTGAAATAGAGAAGTGTGCATACTCCAAATTTGCTCTTCACTTTTGAGATTACTTTGACTATCAGGAGTCCCTTGCATTTCCACATGAATTTTTGGATGGGCTTGTCAATTTCCACAGAAAAGGCTGTTGGGATTTCTATAGAGACGTGGTGACTGTATATCAATTTGGAAAGCCATCTTAATAATGTCTCCCAATCTCTGAACATTAGTGTCTTGTCATTTATTTACTCCTTTTTTTTTTTTTTACCTTCTTTCAAGTATGTTTTGTAGTTTTAGGGTATAACTTTTGCTCTTTTTGAATAATTAATTTCTAAGCATTTTCTTTTTTGATGCGATTATCAATGGAATTGTCTTAATTTGAAGTGTTCATTGCTAGAGTAGAGAAATACAATTTTTTTTTTAAATTTAAAGGAGTTTAATTGAGCAACAAACAGTTCAAGAATCGGGCAGCCTTCCCAGGCAGAGTAGGCTCGGACACTCCAGCACAGTCACGCGGTGGAAGGTTTATGGACAGAAAATGGAAGTGAGGTACAGAAACAGCTGGGTTTGGCTGCAGCTTGGCATTTGCCTTATCTGAACATGGTTTGAACAGTTGGCTACATTTGATTGGCCAAAACTCAGTGATTGGCACAAGTGTAGTCTGTTTACACCTCCACTTGTCACAATATACAGACAAACTTTTAGGCCAAACTTAAATATATAAGGAGGCAGCTTTAGGCTAAACTTGATTTCAACACCTGTATTCCAACACTTTGGGAGGCCGAGGCGGGAGGATCACTTGAGCCTAGAAGTTAGAGGTCAGCCCAAGCAACATAGTGAGACCTTGTCTCTGTGAAAATAAATTAGCCAGGCATGGTAGCATGTACCTGTAGTCCCAGCTTATCAGGAGACTGAGGCCAGAGGATCATTTGAGCCCAGGAGTTCAAGGTTGTAGTGAGCTACAAGCGCGCCACTGCACTCCTGGGCAACAGAGCAAGACCCTACCTCAAAAAGAAAAAAATAATGACATAAGCAATTATGTGGAAATAGGGTCATACCTGTCAAAGTAATCAGCTGAAAGCAGTTGCCTCTGAGGTGCAGGAAAGGGGGAAAGTGGAGATAAGGGAACTACTTTTCTTTAAAAAAAAAAAAGACAAAACTAACACTTCAAGCCAGGCAAAGTGGCTCACACCTGTAATCCCAGCACTTTGGGAGGCCAAAGCGGGTGGATCACCTGAGGTCAGGGGTTCAAGACCAGCCTGACTAACATGGTGAAACCCTGTCTCTACTAAAAATACAAAAATTAGCTGGGCACGATGGCGGGCGCCTGTAATCACAGCTACTCGGGTTGCTGAGGCAGGAGAATTGCTTGAACCTGGGAGACAGAGGATGCAGTGAGCCGAGATTGCACCATTGCATTCCAGCCTGGGTGACAGAGCGAGACTCTGTCTCAAAAAAAAAAAAAAAACACAAAAAAAAAACTAACACTTCATTACCTCTGAATGGACATTAAAAAATATTTTAATAAATAAAAAAAGATTTAATACTTCAAACTATGGGCACACAAAACCTTGATAAAAATAAAAACAAATTTAGAAATCTATTATTAATAGGACAGCATGTTGAGAGACTTTAAAGGAGTTTTTTTTAAGTATTTTAAAAATAATCTCAAATTCATAGAAGTCTTGGAATTAAAGTACAAAGAACTTTTGTTTTGCTAAATGACTTGAAAATTCCTGACCTGACTCCCTATAACCCCTACATACTGTATGTCTTCTATAAACAAGGACTGAATGCAATAAAATTGTAATATAGCTAGCAAAATCAGGAAATCAACATTAATAGATTTCTACCATCCAACCAACAGACCTATTCAAGTTTTGCCAAGTCAGGATCCAGTTCAGAATCACCACTGCACTTATTTCTCACGTCTCTTTCATCTTCAGTCTGGAACAGTTCTTCAGTCTTTCCTTAACTTTCATGACTTTACACTTCTATTACAGGCCAATTATTTTGTAGAATTTTCCTTAATTTGAATTTGTTGCTTTAGGATTAGATTCCAGTTATGTATTATTGGCAGGAGCATCATAGAAGTGATGCTGTGTTCTTCTTGCTAGACTATCAGGAGGCACACGATTGCAATTTGTCCTATTACTGAGGATGTTCATTTTGGTTACTTGATTAAGGTGGCGCCTGCCAGATTTTTCCACTGTGAAGTGACTTCCTTTTGTAACTAATGAATAATTTGTGAAGAGCTGCTTTGAAATGACGTAAATATCTGTTGATTTGAAAATACAACAAAATTATACTATGAATGGAATAATACATCTAAATTAATTTGCATTTTATCAATGACAACCAGATCCACATACTTTTGTAAAACAGTTGCTGGTGTGTGTGCGCAACAGGTTGTTGACTTAGGCAATGTGTGGAATGTTCTGGATTCCTAGACCCCGGGCAGTAGCTCCAAGACAGTTTTGAACTTTCAAGTAAGACAAACTTAGTTTTGATTTCCAGTTGTACACTTAGAAGCTATGGATGGTAGATTCTTTGTTGGGGAAAATGGCAGCAATTCTCACTCCCTGTGTCTACCCCTTTGGTTGTCCCCTTCCATACCGGCTGGCCATGCCCTTGTGACCTGCTTTGGCCAATGGGAGAATAGCAAATATGACATAAGTGAGACATGGGAAGTTCTTGTGTTGCTGCCCTTATGCTGCTTTTGAAACTCAACCCCTATGTTCAAGCTCTCCTGGATAATGAGACTTGTGGTCGCATTCCCATCACCCAGCTGACGATGAGCTCCTCCTGTCCCTAAAATATGAGGCCCCTTAGCCATCCAGCCCCCATCCAGTTATTGAGAAGCAAGTATTACCTGTTTGAAATCATAAACGGGTGGTTTATGATGCAGCAAAAACTAACTTACATACAACATGACCTCATGTGGGTTTCTTAATTTCTCTCAGTCTCAGCTTTCTCATCTATAGGATGGAGATAAGGCAATCAACCTTGCTATTTAGAGGATTAAATGAGAAAATATATGCAAAGTGCTTGGCATAGCATAAATACTCAACACATATGGTAATTTTTTAAAAACCCTCTATATTAGTCCCTTTTAATTAAAATTTTAATTAAAACAAAAGAAAAACAAAACAAAACAAAAACCTCTGCTGGGTGGATGAGGGGCAGCCCTCAGGCTAGATGCACTGATTTAGTACTTTTAATAGTGGCAGGAGTCAGACAAGCCCCTAGGCAGATAGTGGCATGTCCCCAATGAAATCCAACTTTCAAACCAAAGGCAGTTTAAAGCCCAAAAGCTAAGCTACAAGTCTTGGATAAATCCATGGACCGAGCTGAGAACATCTCTTCCTGTTGGTGCACTTTCCTCTGACTGATCCCCACACTTCACTTACTTTATATATATCTACCCTTCCCTAAGTGGTTTTCTACACTGTCATGCCACCTTTGAATGGTTCCTTTGTTTTAGCCTTTTTTGTATACTCGTAAACCAATCAGCATGCAGTCCCCACTTCTGAGCCCATAAAAGCCCCGGACCCAGCCACGCTGGGAGAGAGACCACCTGACTTCAGGTCAGGGACCACCCTCGCATCCCCTCTCCGCTGAGAGCTGTTTCATTGCTTCATAAAACTCTTCTCCGCCCTTTTCACCTTTCCATTGTCAGCAAAGGGTACGAAGAAGGCAGTAACACCATAGCCCTCCACCCCTCCCCCACTATCTGTGCCCAGTGGCAGCCCCTTGCCATGAGAGGCAGTGCAGGGCCAGGCCAGCCAGGGAGCCTCTGGCAGGAGCAGGCAACAGGACTGACAGAGTTGTTAACACACCCCCCATTCATTGTTAACATGCCCGTTTGTCAGGCTGCTGACGGTGGGACTAAAAGAGCTGTTAGCATGGCTGTAACATCCCCTCTGGGGCTTCAGAGTCGAGTGCTTTCCTGTTTGGGCGCCACCAAGTTCCCTTCATCTGCATGCCAGAGTTCACCCCCGGAGTCACTTCCAACAGGCCTGATGAAGCTGCAGGCCCCAAAGGGAGCCCGCTCCTGTGCCAGCACTTGGAGTTGCTGGCAAGATGAGGCACTCACTTGATCACACACCCCCTCCTACTGGGGCTGAGCATGCAGTCTCGGTGGCTGCAGGATCCCCACCAGAGTGCAAGCCCAAGTGGGCAGGGCACCTCCTGCCTGGGGCAGAGCTAGGCATGGGCAGGGGCATCGCCAGCCAGAAGTCTGCAGTTGGAAAAGTGTCCGAGAAAAATCCTGCGTCACTTTGGAAGCAGTCTTCCTATCCTAGAATGCCAGAGGGCAAGCATCTGAAAGATCTGGAAGGATGAGGCAGCAAAGGCCAAGATGTGAATGTACACTGCCCCTGTCAGAGGTGATCGAACCAGAGCGATTCCATCTTGAATAGGGGCTGGGTAAAATAAGGCTGAGACCTGTGAGGCTGCATTCCCACTAGCTTAGGCATTCTAAGTCAGGATGAGATAGAAAGTCCGCACAAGATACAGGTCACAAAGACCTTGCTGATAAAACAGGATGCAGTAAAGGAGCCAGCCAAAACCAAGACGGTGACGAAAGTGACCTCTGGTCATCCTCACTGCTCATTATATGCTAATTATAATGCATTTCCATGCTAAATGACAGTCCTGCCAGTGCCAGGACAGTCTACAAATGCCATGGCAACATCAGGAAGTTACCCTCTAGGGTCTAAAAAGGGTAGGAACCCTCAGTTGCAGGAATTGCCCACCCCTTTCCCGGAAAACTCATGAATAATCCACCCTTTGTTTAGCATATGATCAAGAAATAACTGTAAGTATAGTCAGTCGAGCAGCTCATGCCGCTGCTCTGCCTATGGAGTAACCATTCTTTCATTCCTTTATTTTCTTAATAAGCTTGCTTTCACTTTATGGACTTGCCCCAAATTCCTTCTTGCAGGAGGTCCAAGAACCCTCTCTTGGGGTCTGGATAGGGACCCTTTTCCAGTAACATCCCCATCACAGCCCTAATCACTAGGGGACCCTCTAGGCTCTTCCTGCCCTCCCCAGACTGTCTCCCTTAAACATGCTGGATGCAGGGGTGCATCAGTGACTCCGCTGGTGCCTCCAGGAAAATAAAGTGTGGACCTCTGTGGACAAGAAACAACCCAAAGTAAAGACGACTCCTCACAGGCAGGATGGATATCCAGTTGTATGTATGTCGGTGTGCTGGGGCCGGGAGGCTCCTAATAACAATGTTACCGCTGCTTCACGTGGAAGAAAGCTGAGGCTCAGAGAGATTAAGGAACTTGTCCAGGGCCATACCGGAGTCCAGGCCTGTGTGCTGTCATGGTCTGAGGTTTGAACTCCAACCGTCTAAGGAGCTGGGATAGAACTGGGGAGGGAGTGTGGTGGGTGGGAACAGCGGGCAGATAGATGCTGGCTGGTCTCCGAGGGGCCTAGGTTCTGCCAGAGCGACAACAGGTGAGGAAAACAGGCCTCGGGGTGGAAAAGTGAATACTCAGAGGATGGGCGCAGACCCGGAGGGCCGTGAAAGGTGACAGGGTTATTACAGTCTTGGTTGCATAAGGGGGTAACTAGCGGTTTCTTGGCTGAAAAAGAGGAGGGGGGCTACAGCTTCCCCCCTCCAAGGGCGGAGCACGCAGCCGCTCAGCAGGCTGCCACACAGGGTCCCCCACCTCCGCAGCTGGGGGACCTGAACTCGCCAATAGGAGGTTCCTCCTGCACGCGCGGCTTCACCCTCCCTCCAGGGCTCCCGTTGCATTTCACTCCCTGCCTAAGGTCGCCCGCCGGTGAGGGCGGAGGAGGAAGAACTGCAGCTCCTGAGGACAGAATCTGCTTCAAGGCACCCTGACCGGCGCCCAACCCCACCCCGGCTGCGGCCCGCCGCCCTGATCCCCATCGCGCTGCATGGTCTTCCCTTCCAACACCGAGGGCGCTGCAAGGACGCCCTGTCCCTGCCACTCATTCATATTAATGACTCCTCCCACCATGTTTTCCTCAGCTGTGTTCCGACCGCTCTGCCCGAAACATTTTCATCCCACACTCTTACGGCCACCTCTCCCCAAGTTCCCTTCCGTCTGGGCAAATCTTGTCCTTTACCCGGCACTGGGGTCGCTCCAGAGCTTTCAAACCAGCTTCCCCAGGGCGCTGTGCAGGGCCGGGCCCCTACAATTTTTGTATATTGATCTTGTACCTTGCCGTCAGGCTGAACTTGTTTATTAGTTCCAATAATTTTTTTTAGTGGCATTGTTGGGGTTTTCTATATAAAGGTAATGTCATCTGCAAGTAGAGCTAATTTTACCTCTTCCTTTCCAATCTGAATGCCTTTACTTTATTCTTTGTTTAATTATCTTATCTTGGCTAGAACCTCCAATACAATGGTAAATAAAAGAGGTAAATGTGCTGCAGTGAGTGCTTAAAGTTTTATGTTGCCTTAGCATCCATTTTCAAATATGTGTTTAACTTTCTCAAACCAGAAGCAGGGTTCAGTCACCCTTGATGCAGTTTCCTGTACTATACCCCCCAAATGGCTCCAGATGGTGACCAGAAATAAAAACTTGGAGGCATCTCTGTCTCGTAGCAGGCTGGGCTCCCAGCTTTCCTGCTGATTCCTCTAAACAGACCATTTAGACACTTTTCAGTCACAATGTGACTTCCTAGCACTAGTGCCTGCTTGCTTTAAGCCCATCAATTTAAAGCTCCCTGTTTATATAATGCCCTGGACCCAATAAAGGCATTGACCTCCGTGTGTGTGTGTGTGTTTTCTAAGCATGCTGTGTGCCCCCCAGGGAACTTTCACACTGTGGTCATGTCATTGAAGCCACATCTGCAATCTGACCCATGCAGGTGGATCTCCTGCTGCTGCGCTTCTGTCTGGGTCTCTGGTGGCTGCAGAAACAATGGCTACAAGCTGAGCAGATAAAGAAACTCAGAGAGTTCATTCTAAACAAGTGAACAACCTCTTCTTCCTGATCTAAGGCAAAAAGCATTTAACCTTTCATCATTTATTTCTCCACAAGTGTGGCATGTCATCATTGCCACTCACTGACCCACACACTCATGGTTCATAGCCTGAGAAATAGTTTGCAAAGGCATATTTACCTTCATTGAAACCTTAGAAAACATATATAAAGGCAGTTCAAAAATCAACCTTAAAATATGCCATAAAAAGACAGAGAGAGGTAAGAAGATACTCATGAAATCAGTCATTGTCTCAAACAAGAATAATTTTAGAGAAAGTGGATTGGGTCCTTCTTTCCCTGGTTCTCTTGCTTTTTTCTATTCTCTTCTGCGAGCAATAATCCTTTTGTCTGGCTTCTTCATTATTTCAAAGGAGAAAGTACAATATGAGCATGCATTCACCTATACTGTCAATTCCAGAAAAAAATAGCAGAGTTAAATATAAATGGACCTTAGTCATATTTAACCATTGCTCTCCTTGACAATCCAAAGCTTAATAAAGTACATCTCTTTCCATTTAGAAATTCATATATTCATACTCATACTGTTAACCTACTAAAATAAAAAAGTAGATGGAAATAATATACATGGAGCTAAAGTCAATATTAAATAGTCCCAGACATATGGTTTGTGACTAATTATTAAACATAATATATGAATTCTTCCGGTGGGTTATACAATTTTAATTGGTTGATTAAAGGACCATTCTATTCTTCAAAGGAGATAATCATGCTAAATTTTAAGAAAAATTACAGTGGAGGTATTCATTTATTTATGTCTTTATAAAAATGTAATATAAAATGTTTATGCAAAGGAGGCCTGTGAGAGAGGGGAGTGTCAGGGTTTAATAAGATATTTGGAGTAGTTTCATCCCATGACCACACATGTTCTGCTTTACCATCTGCAATCTCATTAGCTGTCCATGAAGATGCTGTGCTGAATGTAGACCTGAAATTTAGACATAAGCACTCACATATATGAAATATACATTGCTAGAGGAGCAAATAAACAAAGAAGAAAAACATTTTTTGATTTGTGGCTTCACTTTTGAACAATAACCAAAAATATTCTACATGCTCGAAGGAAAAAAAAACTCATTTTATTCTTATGAGACCAAAGGATTTTATTCTTACGAGACCAAAGGAAATGACAACAGAAGGTGAAATACAATGCAACCAGCCTGGGAAATCTTTCTGCTTGGTTCAGCTGGGCCATGGACAATTTCAAAACGAAGCAATGTGAAAACAGCACATTAATGAATGGATGGATAAAGAAACATGGAGAGAAGATACATTACTTTGGCTACCAGAGGTACAAATGCAAAAAGATTCTCCACTTTTGACTAGTAGAACTGATGATGGATTTAAAATCAGCTGCACACTGAGGGATTTTTGTTCAAGTGTAACATAAATTGTGTTACAATATGAGGATAAAATATGTTATTTTGGGCTATGTTTTAGTGCATAAACACTAACAACATTAATGAAATAATAATTTACTTGAAAGATGTTTAATCTATTTGTAAATAGCTCTGTCACCTGCTGAATGGCTTTCATATGTTTCAAGTAATATTTAATTTCTAAAGAGTATCCTAGACTTTACTCTGAGGATTTATTATATTAACTCTCTCAAAGAGCCCTTATATCGTAAAGAGAGTGTTATCTAGAAAACAAACCTCCTGGGTGTCACACGTTGCTAGTTATGATATTGCTTAAGGTAAAATGGGAAAATTACAGCCCAAGGCTATTTCCCAGTTACCTCTGCTTAGGGACAATAACTGAACGACCCCACAGAAAACACGTTAGGGTAGAAGGGGCCTGTTTTCCAGGAATTCCTGCTTCTTCATGTTAAGTACCCTCCCAACCAAGTGAAAGCGAAGACTTCTTAGTAGAAAGGCAAATTCAGCAAACTACTTTCCTTTTTTATCTGAGATAAAAATTAAGTGAGTCTTTGTGTTTTTGTGTATTTATGTTCTCAAGTTTTGCCCTTGTTTATTTTCTGTTCTTTATTAATGAATCAGTAGTTCCATTCTTGAGTTGTTTTGAATTATTTCACCTGGAAGAAGACAAATTTAAGAAGTCCTAGTAAGTAAGCATGAAAAGGGGTCTTAAATGAGTATCAGGAATCAAATGCACTGAGTCCTCGGGTGAGTATTCAACCCCTGGGGACTAAGTAATCCTTTCCACTGCCTCTATTTTATTTCTCTTGAAGAACATAAAAATCTAACAAAAGTGCTTAGCTATCCAAAATTATCAAATATTGAAAGAATGATTTTTTTTCCACATCAAACAAAATTTAGTTAAATGGTAGTTTCCACATAGATATAAAATGTTGAGCAGCATTAGAGATTAAGCCTGTGAGGTGGGGGAGATAAAGAAAGGTTTAGTGGTGGTACAATTAGCTGAGGAGTCAAGAGAAATAGAAAACAAAAAATCTTCTATTTTGTCTTCTTTGGATCATGAATCCATTGTTATGTTTTATTTTTATTAAACAATTATTTCCCATGCTGGAAGAGTGAAAGAGTTGAGCCATCCTAAGGAACTTAAGGTGTGACAATTTACAGAGAAGAATAGTTGTAACATTGCTCATTTACTCTGAGTATAAACATGAAAAATAGTTTTAAAAATACGGTGAAATAATTTATTCCACAGAGAAGTCATGGAGCTCTCTTACACATCATATTGTATACTAATAGCTTTGGGTGGGTGGTCTTCAGGTGATAGCACAGAAATGGAGTACGAATTTGCAGGGAAATGACACAAATTGAATCAGGCTTCAGTTTACCAGCTACTGATTGCTATTAACAGGGCATTTTGATGTGAGTCTCCACTAAGCATGTGAGTTAGAAAATAGCTCTAAAGACCATCCTTGATGGATCATTACTTTGAGATGCAAACCCCAGATTGCATTATTAAAACATCTTGGAATCAATTCTGTGCATTTCCAAATAAGCTCTGGCATGCATATGACCACATCATTAATACAGTTTACTTCTCTGGATCCTAGACTCTTTTTTTTTTTTTTTTTTTGAGATGGAATCTTACTCTGTGCCCAGGCTGAAGTGCAGTCGGCTCACTGCAAGCTCCGCCTCCCGGGTTCACGCCATTCTCCTGCCTCAGCCTCCTGAGTAACTGGGACTACAGGCACCTGCCACCACGCCTGGCTAATTTTTGTATTTTTAGTAGAGACGGGGTTTTGCCATGTTGGCCAAGCTGGTCTTGAACTCCTGACCTCAGGTGATCCACCCACCTCGGCTTTGAGAACAAGAACACTATATCTGCTGGTCTCAAACTCTTCACCTCAGGTGATCCACAGTCCTCAGCCTCCCCAAATCCTAGGATTACAGGCGTGAGCCACTGCACCCAGCCAAAAAAACTGATGCTATTTTCTATACACCTTGCACCTTATGGATGTGCCTACCAGAGATCTGGATTATAACCCTACCTTGTCACCATAAAAAATTCATTCCTATTGGACACTGACATGAAAGCCTTATGTTACGTTTTGTGATTAAGCAGTTTTCTCTTACAGCTTATTTACAAGGGAAAGAGAAAGGAAACAAGAAATAGTTTCAAAAAAACAGCCAAAATTTCAGTAATCATTAAAATCAACACAATTAAATACTCTTTTTTGGAATGAAATTTCGCTCTTGTTGCCCAGGCTGGAGCACAATGGCACAATCTCAGCTCACTGCAACCTGTGCCTCCCGGGTTCAAGCAATTCTGCCTCAGCCTCCTGAGTAGCTGGGATTGCAGGCGCCTGCCACCACGCCTGGCTAATTTTTGTATATTTAGTAGAGACGGGGTTTCACCGTGTTGACCAGGCTGGTCTTGAACTTCTGACCTCAGGTGATCCACCCGCCTCGGCCTCCCAAAATGCTGGGATTACAGGCGTCAGCTACCACTACCAGCAATTAAATACTCTTTTTAAAAGCCTTGAGGGAACCGTGTAAAGATCTCAAAACTCTAAGATATTTTCACATCCTGTCCCCACATTCCAAGGTTAGGAAGATTGAGAAGGTATTCATTTACTATTAGTTATTTATTTTATTGTTATTTATATTAAAAATCTCAAGGCAAAATATTAGGTGATTATCCCAAAAGATTATATTAAAGCGTATTCCATAATTAAATATACATTTCAAATTTAGAAGTTAGTTTTAAAAGCTCATCAGTTAAGGTCTGGAACATAAAAAACATTTCATAAAATTAAGGTTTCGGCCGGGGGTGGTGGCTCATGCCTGTAATCCCAGCACTTTGGGAGGCCGAGGTGGGTGGATCACGAGGTCAGGAGATCGAGACCATCCTGGCTAACACAGTGAAACCCCATCTCTACTAAAAATACAAAAAATTAGCTGGGTGTGGTTGCGGGCGCCTGTAGTTCCAGCTACTTGGGAGGCTGAGGCAGGAGAATGGCGTGAACCCGGGAGGCGGAGCTTGCAGTGAGCCGAGATCGCGCCACTGCACTCCAGCCTGGGTGACAGAGACTCCATCTCAAAAAGAAAAAAAAAAAATTAAGGTTTCACTGATCCTCTGTCCCAGCAGTTCTAATCCCACGAGAACTAAAAAACATAGGTTCACATGAAAACTTATGATAGTTCAAGGCATCTTTATTTCTAACATCTAAACATCCCAGCTGTCCATCAATAAGAAAATGGGCTAACAAATGGTATACAATGGAACAGTACTCACAATAAAAAGAATCAACTTTTTTTTTGTTTTTTTTTTGAAGGAGTCTCACTCTGTTGCCCAAGCTGAAGTGCAAGTGGTGAGATCTCGGCTCACTGCAAGCTCCACCTCCGGGTTCAAGCGATTCTCCTGCCTCAGCCTCCGGAGTAGCTGGGATTACAGGTGCCCGCCACCACACCCGGCTAATTTTTGTATTTTTAGTAGAGACAGGGTTTCACCATGTTGGCCAGGATGGTCTCAAACTGCTGACCTCAAGTGATCCACGTGCCTGGGCCTCCCAAAGAGCTGGGATTACAGGCGTGAAGCCACTGTGCCTGGCCAAGAATCAACTTACTGATAAACACAACAAGACAGCTGAATCGCAAATAATAGTATGCTGAGGGAAAGAAGCTTTTAACAAATGCCTACCTGCCTGCCCTCCTTCCTTTTCTTCTTTTATGTTTTTAACCTGGCTTAATTTTCTTGGCTTCATTATTTTAAGCAATTTTTGCAGTGTTGAAAAATTTGCAAGTAAGTTTTCAGAAACAGTTAACTTCAAAATCCTACACATGCTATACATGAAGACAGTAAAAACATGGATGGAAAGAAATAATCAGTTTATTTACATTTTCTGTTTATATGATAAGTAGTAATTTAGCTGAGGTTGACAATTCATTTAAATGAGATAAAAGTCATTTACATTGTCTCTGTGGCTGTTTTCACGATACAAAGGGATGCAAAGGTAGGGTGTTACTGAGCAAACAATGGGCTTGCTGCCTAATGTACATGGAGGCCAAGACCATGGCACTGGCTTTTGAGGAAAAAAAAGCTTCATTGCAAGTGGACTGGCAAGGAGACAGGAGGAAGTGCTCCAATATATCACCCCCAGCTGACGTTTGGGTCGGGTTTTATAAGCATAGGCTAATGAGGTGTGATCTGATTGAATTCTGCAATGAGATGATGCCAGGAGGCATGATCTGATTCGATTCCACAATGGGCTGATGCCAGAGCTCAATTTGATTGGATCCTGGATCCTTCCATACTGCGTCTGCTTCTTAATTCAGTCCCTGCTCCTTGGTCTTCTCCTTGGTCTGGGCACTTCTGTTCCCCTTGTGGTTGCATACTTGGTTCATCTGGGCATGCTCAGTTTACATGACCTTCAGCCTGAGGGCTCAGACCAACTCATAACTTTGTTGGATTAAAGTTTAGCCAGATTTGTCTGGCGCTGTTGCAGGTAGAGCAGTTGTGACAGAGACTATGTTGCCCTCAAAGCTGAACATATTTACAGTGGTGCAACCTTATCCACAGGGGATTCCTTCCAAGATCCTCAGTGGACACCTGAAATCTTCAGTAGTACAGGACACCATACATATTGTGTTTCCTTTACATATATATTTATAATAAAGTTTATAAATTAGGCACGGTAAGAGATTAACAACAATAGCTACTAATAACATAGAACAATTCTAACAATAAGCCAGCATCACTATTCTTGTGCTTTGGTGCCATTATTAAGTAAAATGAGGGCTCCTTAAACACAACACTGTGATACCTCAACAGTCAATCTGATAACTCAGAAGGCTACTAAGTGACTAACGGGCAGGTAGCGTATAAGGCATGGATATGCTAGACAAAGTGGTGATTCATGTTCTAGGAGGGACACTACTCAAAACAACATATAATCTAAACTTATATATTATTTATTTCTAGAATTTTCCATTTAATATTTTCAGACCACAGTTGACCACATTTAACTGAAACCACAGAAAGTGAAACCATGGATGGGGGAACTACTCTATACCATATCATCTGTCACCTTACAGAAACTGTTCACTGATCCCTTTTGTAGACTAAAGAGTCATAAAGATTTCTCACTATGTGAGATAGAATAATTTTTAAAAGCGTAAGTTTCAGTTTACACTTTTAAGTTCCAAGTTCCCTCTATGACTGATCATCTGACTTTGCATGAGTCACACAAGCTGAGTCCAGCTGTCCCCAGCCACTGAGATGCAGATACTAACAAGCACCTCTACTCAGTTCCCAATCTGTCAAGTGTGCAGTGAGCATCTAAGGTCAAGAATACATTTCAATGATCACAACAGCTGGTGCTGAGAATACCATCAAAATATAAATAATGGCCTTGACAATGTAACTGAGAAGACTAGTATATTTGAAACATGGGAGGCAAACTCAAGACAGAATATAAATACATTTAATTACTAAGTCACGTAGTAAGTTTTGGTATATCCATATAGTGGAATATTTTAGCAGGCATTAAAAATGATATTTTTCGGCCAGGCACAGTGGCTCACGCCTGTAATCCCAGCACTTCAGGAGGCCGAGGTGGGCGGATCACGAGGTCAGGAGATTGAGACCATCCTGGCTAATACGGTGAAACCCTGGCTCTACTAAAAATACAAAAAATTAGCCGGGCATGGTGGTGGGCGCCTGTAGTCCCAGCTACTCGGGAGGCTGAGGCAGGAGAATGGCATGAACCCAGGAGGCGGAGCTTGCAGTAAGCCAAGAAGGCGCCACTACACTCCAGCCTGGGCGACAGAGCCAGACTCCATCTCAAAAAAAAAAAAAGATATTTTTCAAAGAAATACGTTTATGGTGGTTTGGTTTTAATTGAGATACATAAATACTGCTTCAATTTCTGTAATGGCTGTGAGATGTTCCTGTTTTAACTCCCTTCTTGGGAAACTATTTCTGTTTGCAGATGACATAATCCTATATCTAGAAAATGCCATCATCTCAGCCCAAAAGCTTCTTAAGCTGACAAGCAACTTCAGCGACGTCTCAGGATACAAAATCGATGTGCAAAAATTACTAGCATTCCTATACACCAACAACAGGCAAGCCAAGAGCCAAATCACGAATGAACTCCCATTCACAATTGCCACAAAAGAATAAAATACCTAGGAATACAGCTAATCAGGGAGCTGAAAGACCTCTACAAAGAGAACTACAAAACATTGCTCAAAGAAATCAGAGATGACACCAAAAAATGAAAAAACATTTCATGCCCATGGATAAGAAAAAAACAATATCATGAAAATGGCCATACTGTCTAAAACAATTTATAGATTCAATGTTATTCCCATTAAACTATCATTGATATTCTTCACAGAATTAAAAAAAACTATTTTAAAATTCACATAGAACCAAAAAAAAAAAAAAAAGCCCAAATAGCCACAACAATCCTGAATGAAAAACACAAAGCTGGAGGCATCACACTACCTGACTTCAAACTATACTATAAGGCTACAGTAACCAAAACAGCATGGTACTGGTACAAGAACAGACACATAGACCAAGGGAACAGAAACGATAACCCAGAACTAAGACCACAGACTTATAGCCATCTAATCTTCAACAAACCTGACAAAAACAAGCAATGGGGAAAGGATTCCCTATTTAATAAATGGTGTTGGGAGAACTCTGGCTAGCCATATGCAGAAAATGGACCATATAGAAAAATCAACACAAGATGGGTTAAAGACTTAAATGTATAACCCAAAATTATAAAAATCCTAAAAGAAAACCTAGTCAATACCATTCAGGACACAGGTATGGGCAAATATTTCATGATGAAGATGCCAAAAGCAATTGCAACAAAAGCAAAAATTGACAAATGGGATCTAATTAAACTAAAGAGCTTCTGTACAGCAAAAGAAACTGTCATCAGAGTGAACAGACAAGCTACAGAATGGGAGAAAAATTTTGCAATCTATCCATCTGACAAAGGTCTAATATCCAACATCTACAGGGAACTTAAACAAATTTACAATAAAAAAACAAACAACCCCATTAAAAGGTGGACATTCTTTTCACTCTAGGAATCTCTGATTTGTCTCTGGCACTTTCAAGAATTTGTATTTTTCTTTGTCATCTGATGATTCATTAAAATGTATCAAGGTGTTGGAGATTTTTTTTTTCATACTGCTTGTAGATTTTTTTGCTTTCCTTCCTAAATTCATGTTCTTAGCCTATTGTGACTCTGCTATATGCAAGAAGTCTGGCTCAGCCTTCCCAACATTTTATGTGTCCAAGGCCTACTTTTACTTTCCCCTGAGTAGTTGTTAATACCCCAAACTCTGGGTAACCCAGGTCAGTTTCTGTTCCCCAGGCAACTCTAGCTCCTGTACTGCTTTTATCTATTTCTGGATTGCCATCAGGGCTTCCTTGAGAGCTTCACATTTACTTAAAAGTAGACTTGATATAATTTCCTGATATTTTGTAGAGCTACAAGGCTTTTTAGGAAACCCAGTTTGGCCAATTGACAGAAATGGAAGTCCAACTTTGGTGGGAAAACTATTATTGTCAATCACTTTATATAGAATGAAACAGTGGTGCAGAGACATGACTTTGAATTATGCAAGGTCAAAGTGCCAACATACTTCAGATGTAGAACTTAAAGTCAACAAATCTGAAACCAACGTTAATGTGTTCCTCAATACCTCAGTGAATACAATTACGGATAGCAAGGTGAGTAACCTAAAGCAAAAACAAGGGACTACTTTACTCCTTGTGTTTCGTCCTATTCCATAACATAGTTTGTGTTCTTGGAACTATAAACTTCGTCTTTTTAACTACTTGCCACATGGTAAAACTGACAATCATGAAATATGTCACGTTATCCTGTGACTTAGAATGTCTGGTGGGGCATCACTCCACTCTTCTGGAGAGAACATGTATGACAGTTTGAAACATTCAAAATGTGCTGTTCTTTGCAGTCAGGAAAGAACTTCAGGGCAGGACAGAAAGAAATCAGTCACAACATTTCAGATATTGGTGTTAGAAGGAGTTATTTAGGGAGTTATTTAGAGATAAGACATACTTCCTGGCTCTGTTGAAATCACATTGTGTAAGAAGCTGCCTATTTCATTAATACATAAAGCCAGCCTTCCTTTACAAGTAGAGGCTACATTATCCCTGATTATGCTTTATTTTTAAAACGTGAACTTGAGGAAAGAGACTCAGGCCTGTATCATACACTTTCCTTAGTTTTTGTTTTGTCAGAAGCATATTATTAACAAGTAGTCTCTTTCAAAAAGACAAGATACAAACGAGTAGAAAAAAATCCGTTCTCTTATCTCATGATGGTTAGATTATTTAAGAGTTGAAGTGATTGCTATGTCATTTGCATAAATTCAAGGACTTTTATTTATTTATTTATTTATTTATTCATTTTTGAGATGGAGTCTCGCTCTGTCACCTAGGCTGGAGTGCGGTGGCGCGATCTCGGCTCACTGCAAGCTCTGCCTACCGGGCTCATGCCATTCTCCTGCCTCAGCCTCCTGAGTAGTGGGACTACAGGTGCCCACCACCACACCTGGCCAATTTTTTGTATTTTCAGTAGAGACGGAGTTTCATCCTGTTAGCCAGGATGGTCTCGATCTCCTGACCTCGTGATCCGCTCACCTCAGCCTCCCAAAGTGCTGGGATTACAGGCGTGAGCCACCGCGCTTGGCCAAATTCGAGGACTTTTCTCTCTCAATTGCTTACAATTAAAAATTTTGTAGTAGCACATGCTCACAGATTTGGGGCTTTCAGAAATGTCTTTTCAAACTAAAAACTTTTAAAATAAATAATATTGCAGATATTTAAAATAATAATATTTCTAGATTGCAGAGGAAATACAAACTCCCAATTAATCATACCAAATATATTCTATGTTCTTTAACTTCTGGTAGAAAAAAAATCAGATTTATACTTTATATCTTCCTGTATTTTAGAAAATAGCAGACAATGAGAGAAGATAATTCTCTAATGAGATATTTGGGATCCAACACGGAATAAATGTCTGTATCTTAATTTTAAATTTTTACTATATAATTATTGATATCTTTTCCTAAAACGGGAAATCCCTTACTCTAATTTTGAGATTGATATTTAGAATAATTGCTAAACTAAATAGTAGACTTGAAAAAGCTTTGCTCATAAAATTCTTACAGATTTATTTTATTTTACAGAAGTGGTAATGGTAATTAACAAAAATTCTTAAGTGTAATAAATTCATTTTGGTAGATTTTGGTATGTAAATGAGAAAACAGTCTTCTAACTATAACAAATTATTTAGCTTAGTCTGTCATATAAAATTCAGTGAAAAACTAAAAAAAAGTAACAAAAAACTGAGCCTATTCAAATTATATGTAAAGTTTGTGCACAGTATATAAAACTAAGTTAAGTAGGCTTACAAAATAACACTTCATATAGTATTTTGGGGAAACTCTTTCTCCAAGAGGAGAAAAAATAGCCAAATAGGAAAGAGAGTGCAAGGTTTTTAATCAAGTGTGTCTCTTCCCTTGGCTTGTGTGGGAAGATTGTAGATGGGATTACTAGGATCAGATTTAGAACACTGATCTGATGTCAATGACCTAAGTCAGCATAGCCAGCAAAGTAATATTTCCAGATAAAGAGAGAAAAAAAATTCTCCTAGATAAGAAAAAAACAACAGGGTGCTCTCAAAACCAGCACTGTAATCACCACTGAGCTAATTAGTAGGACATTTAAGGCCAAGGCACCATGGAAAGGCCAGAAAGAGACAAAAGTCAATAAAAATGGTCACTGACGACAGAGTCACAGTGCCTGGCTGACAGATGGTGCTGAAAATCCCTGAGAGATGAGGACGACTTCAGATAAGAGCGGTCCAGGGAAGATACTCAGTCATTGACAAAGCACAATGGGAAGGGTCAGTAAAAAGATCAATAACAGAAGGAAACAGCTGCCACATTCATCATTCTTAACGTCAAGGTTGACATTGGATAAATGGAGTTGGCCTTTTTTTTTCTTTTTTTTTTTTACAATAGTTTAGTGCAGAAACCTCTAAAAGGAGCTTGTACATGAAGAACTGAAGTGAGAAGCCTAGCCATTTGTATACCTTTTAGTAATAGAGACTGAATATTAAAACAGACAGTGGCCAAACCACGTACGACAATGGAACTCTGACCCACAACCACTGCAGCAACCAGCTTGGGAAGGCAAACCACAATCTCTGCAGCAGCCAGTTCAGGAATGCAAGCCACAAATTCAGTAGCAATTTGCCGAAAACAATCAGAGGTTGGTCAATGACTGCCAACTTCTCTAAGATTGCCCCTGCTTCTAGTTTAGTACTAATTAAAGAAAGCCAAATACTCTCTCCAAACCTATCCCATCAGATGCCTTGCTTCTCTTTAGCCTACCTGCGCCTCTCCATGCCCATAGCCTCCTACCCCAAAGCCTTGCCCCTTTTCACTATAAAGCTTTCCCATTCTCCCAGCCTGAGTCTCTGTCAAACATAAATGATAGTGACTGCCTCCCTTTCTCTAGCAAGCAAGAAATAAATAGCTTCTGTTCTCATTAAGTTGTCTCCTTTATTTCTGTAATTTTCTGTTTTTTTTTTTAATTTTTTAATTTTTTTGAGACTGAATCTTGCCCTGTCGCCCAGACTGGAGTGCAGCAGCACGATATGGGCTCACTGCAATCTCTGCCTCCCAGGTTCAAGAGATTCTCCTGCCTCAGCCTCCCAAGTAGCTGAAACTACAGGCATGTGCTACCACACCTGTCTAATTTTTGTATTTTTTGTAGAGACAGGGTTTCACCATGTTGGCCAGGCTGGTCTCGAACTCCTGACCTCAGGTGATCCACCTGCCTCAGCCTCCCAAAGTGCTGGGTTTATAGGCATGAGCCACCATGCCTGGTCTGTATTTCTGTAATTTTCCTAGAAGCTCCACTGAGACACATTCTTAACTGCTCATCACTATGGACTTTGGACCCTGATCAAGTGTGCTATCTATGGAGGCCTCTTGTGCCTTGCTTCTTGAGGCCTGTCAAGTCTGTGTTGACACAGTGTCTGTGAGAGAACAGAGTTGGGCTTCAACTCTGTTCTCTTTGTATTGAGATCCTTGGTTATTGACTATCAGCTTGGTACTCAGCTTTTGCTACCAATTCCCATTTGTTTGGCACCCTTGGAAAAATACTGCCATTTCTTTTCATTCCTTTTTGTTCTCTTTTGTGCTTCTGTTTTATGAGATATGTCTAAAGTGTTGTCTGTTATCAGAAGGAGAATCAGTGCAGAACACAGGCTTTGCTCCTCTAAGAGTGTCTCAGCTTGCTCCACAACTGATGAGCTGCAATTCTTACCAAACCAGCATCCATCTGGACAAACTTTCCTAAACTTTCCTGTCAGTCACCAATAAAATGGGATAAGGTTCTTCATCTTTTTTTTTTTTTTTTTTTTTTTTTGGCCCTGAGAGGTTGGATTTGATGCAGAGGGAATATTCTGGTTTTCCATTTGCCTGTGGGCACAAGTTGTCAAGTCTGCATTTGGAGGTTGCCAACTATCAGGTTGGGGGCCTAAGACATAAAGTGCACAAATATTACTTTCAACTGACCATTGCCAGCTCCCATGGAATTTTCTGAGTGTAAATCCTCTTTTCCTTTTTTTCCTCCAGAAAAACCTCCCATTTCTTATACGTACCCTTGCTACGATCCTAGCACTTGCACCCATCTCTATACCAAGGATAATTTAGGCCTTCAGTGGCTAATCTGGAGAACATTGGACTTGAACAAAATTGTTCATTTGAAAAACACCTTAGAAAAGAGAGAATATTTCTCAGGGGCAATGGGCAGCAGTTTTTGATTGGTACACAAGTTTTCAAATGAAATTCTGATTCAGACATTACTCTGCTAAAATATTTTTTGGCCAGAGCTAATGAACAGTATGACAAACTTAACAACAAACTAACTCATTTGCCCAGCAAATCTTCCCCCGGCTTCTCCTCCAGTTGACTTCAGCTCTGCAACTCTTCCTCATCCCCCCATCCTCCTTTCACACCTCATTGACTCCTCCCTCTTCTTCCAGACCCCCTACCTTCTCCCAGTGACTCTCCTAAGATCCCGGAATGTCATTTACCTCTAAAGTTCCATCTCTTCAATGACCCAAATACGCAAGCAGCAGTAGAATTTAAACCTTGAACACGAGCTGAATTAAAAGCTATGACTAAGCATTTCCCAAAGGAGTTCAGAATTCTAAATTCTTTTAGTTGTACACAACTCAGGGTTACCTGAGCTATATCAACTTGTATTTATGTTTGTAGATCCTCAGACATTAAATCCTGATGGCAAAAGCCAGTTGGATTCACCAGGACAGAGATCTACAGCATCTTTCTTTCCACAATAAGCCTGAGGGCCAAAAAGAGGCTCAAAAAGTAGGGCAATGTATCCTAAAAGCCTTACTTGAAACATTTCTAGTAAAAATAAAATGGACCACAATTTAATCATGTAAATAAAGAAAAGAAGAAATTATAGGAGATTTTCAGAATAAACTAGAAAACCCCTTTCAACAACATTTGAGTGTTAAAGAAGTGTAAGTGTAATAATGGCTCTTTTACCTACTTTGTTAATG